>NT_187573.1:0-158983 GCF_000001405.40 Homo sapiens | reverse complement strand
GAATTCTGCTGGCAATCTTATTGCTGTTTCCTGGGAGCTGATCTTCCTTTTCTTTTTGGCTGGCTTAAAGGTCTTCTGCAATTTCACTCTGTCATCTAAACTTTATTTTTCTTTATTCTATTTAGTCCATGTTGTGCCTCTCTGTGCATACTTATTTTTTATCAGTTCTGAAATATTCTCAGGCATAACTTCTTCAATGATTGACTCTCTTTCCTTTGAGATTTCAACCAGACTTCCATAAGCTCTCTGCACACCATCTTTTTGTTTTATTTTATTTTAGTTTTTTCTTTTCTTCTTTTCTTGCTCAGACTTAAGTGGGCATCAGGAAAACACCATCTTTTATGTTTCTTATTTTCCCTATTTTCTATTTCCTTATCCTTTGTGCTACATTCTTGGTAATTTTTTAAAGATTTATCTTCTAGTTTATGAATTCCCTCTTCAGTTGTGTTTAATTTGCTGCGTAATCTGTTTGCTGAGTATTTTTTTAAACACCTTTATTGAGATATCATTCACATACCATAGCATTTACCCTTTTAAATATACAAGCCAGGGGTCTGTAGTATATTCATAGAGTTGTGTGACCATAATCACTATTTTTAGAACATTTTCATCACTCCTAAATGAGTGCTTTTATCACTTTATTTATTAGTAGTGCCTATTACCAGTCCCTAAGGAGGACTGATTCCCCTATCCCACCCTTCTAGCACAAGGCAACCACTAAGCTACCTTCTGTCTCTCTTGGATTGTTTATTCCGGACATTTCATAAAAAGAAAACCACACAATGTGTTTTCTTGTGACTGGCTTCTTTCAGTTACCGTAATTCTTTCAAGGTTTCTGCTGACCTTTTCATTTCAATGAAAAGTTTTTCATTTCTAGAGGTTCTATTTTTTTCTGATAAGCATGGTGATTGGTTTCATAGTGCTTTGTTCCTTATTTTAATATATCTTAAGCATAACAAATAGGTTAATTTTATATCCTATATTTGATATTTTCCATTTAGAAAGTTTGTGGTGATTTAAATCTGTTGCTCGTCACTGTCAGCTGAGTCTCACTTGGAGGCTTGCTTTCTTTAGACATGTGCTGATTTTTCATTTTGAACTCATATTTGATTCAGTTAAATCTGTGGGAACCTCAGTCCCTAAGTTGGGGCTTGCTTTCTCCAGAGTATTCATCGTTGGTTTTGCTTTTGCAAGCAGGGATGCTACTGACCTGGGACCACCCTGGCTCCCCGGAGGGCTCTGTGTGGGTGCCAAGTGGAGGGTGCAGGAGAAAGCATCCCTCGGGGCAGCCCTCAATCAATGACTCTTGGGTGTCGCTGTGAAATACCTGTTCCCTCATCCCTTGGGTGAGTTCACCTGAGGCTCACAGTTTACACCACTTCCCAGAGTACCTCTCTGGGGTCAGGCTCCATTTCCCCACTGCGGGGGGTTGCTGAGTACCACATGCTTGCCAGCCTCCTTCCCCACCCTGGACCACTTCCCCACTCCCCAGGGCTGCTATCCCCACCTCCAACCAAAGGGCTTGCTCTGGAATCCCTGCCTCAGGCTCTGCTTCCGGGACCTCAGACCCCGTGGGGGTCCAGGTCTGCCCAGGACCACTGTGAGTTTCACATCTGCCTCCTGCTCAGTGGGCAGACTTTGGGAGTCCATTATTCTATTTACTTCTTTCTTTATGGACTCAGATTTCTTTTACTTTCTTGCGAGCTCTGTATGTTTTGAAAAGAATTGTGTTTGAACCTTGATCTAGCTCTTGCCCTCTGCACCTTATGAATCTCAACTCCTCATTCAGTTCTCGGCTAAAGTATCAGGTCCTGGGAGAAGCTCTCCCTGACCCTGAGGCAAAGCACGCTCCTGTGGTGGTCTCTTGTCCATCTCGTCCTTGCCTCCACCCCTCTGGAGCCACAATGGAGCGGAGGTGTGCAGTCCCTGTAGCCCAAGCTGCTTGGGTTCCCACTTCAGCTGGGTCACCTGTCACCTGCGTCACTGTGTGACCCCGAGCAGGGAGCGCCGCCTTTCCGTGTGAGTCTCCTCATCTGTGAGATGGAAATGATACTATCTGCACAGCAGGGCTGTGGTGAGACTATAAGGAGATAATAAATATGAAGTGTCTAGAACAGGTGGAATCCATAGTACATGCTCAATAAATGTTAGCTCTGTCACATCCTGCAAAGATATGCTGCAGTAGGCATCACCATTTGTCCAAGGGGAGAGTCAGGAGGGCAGAAACCAGGTCTCTCTCCTCATGCCCTTTCCCAGGGCTCAGGGCAGGGCTAGGGCAGCAGGGAGCATGCAGTAAACATTTTCAGGTCAAATGAAAGGGAGCAGGACCAAAGGCACGATGGCAGATCGGGGCTTCCCCAGTGCCCCGGGGAGGCGGATTTCAGGCACAGGGACACGTGCAAAGGCACAGCTTTTAGGGAGCTGGAGGGCAGGGCGGGAAGGCCAAGGAAGCCGAGAAACGGGTCCAAGGCTCGGATGCTCTGGCCAGGATTTGTACCTTTACCTCCGAGTGTGGGAGTATTTGGCGACAGAAGCCCCTGGGGCTGCGGCTTCTGGTGGGGGTCTTCATGGATGCTCAGGGGAGGAGAACGGCCTGGAGCCACTGGAAACGGGGAAACGGGGAAACGGGTATGAGGTTGGGGAGGGGCGGGGAGGAGGGGGAGGGCGGGGCCCCAGGGCGGGAGTCTGACCCCAGGGGTCTGCGAACCCGGACCTGCGCGTGGCGCCGCGCCGGGTACCTCCCCCTCTCTGCGTCTTTGTGCATTTTGCTTCCTTTCGCAGTAAACGTTCTTCCGAGAAATTCCAAGGGGATCTCAGCCAAGCAGAGGGGGAAGGGATCCTGCCCACGCCTGGGTAGGGGGCCGCGGAGGCTGGGGAGGAGCAGGGGGCGCCGCGAGGGAGGGAGCGGGAACCCGAGGGAGCGCGCGCGCCAGCAAGGGGGCGCGGAGGGCCCGGGCCAGCTACCTGCGTGGGGGCCGCGAGCCCCGGGCGCCCCCCGCCCCGCGCGTCTCCCAGCCGCCCCCGCCCCCCGCGCGGCCCCCGCCCCGGCTCCGCCCCGCCCCTCGCGCGGGGTCCGCGTCTGCGGCTGCGTTCCCCGAAAGACGAGGCTGCGCCCGGATTCCGGTCCGCAGGGAGACCGAAGGGCACAGCTCCCCGCGCCGCGCACGCCGCCCGAGCCCGGAGTGCGGACACCCCCGGGATGTGAGTGAGCCCCCCGACCCCGAGGCCCGCGCTCCACGCCCCATCCGCGGTGAGCGCCGAGGCGCGCGCGGAAGGCCAAGGGAGGGGACTCGGCCCGGGGTTCCCGGCCCCCCAGCCCAGGGGTGGGGGTGGGGACCTGGCACGCGCCCCTCCCCCCAGTGGCAGGTCCCACCCGCTCCCGCCCCTGCCGCTCATTCCTGTCCGGACGCACCTGCAGCTCCCCGGGGAGAAGAGGACGCCCCCCATCCGCTCCCCCACACAGGTGCCGGCGCGGGGCGGAGGCGTCTCGAGCTGTCACCTCGCCCCAGAGGCCAGACGTCTCCCGGCGGGGATGCTGTGACGGCGGACGCTCTGGAGAAGGGGCTGGGGGTGGGGCTCTGCGAGCTCCGGGCGGACCCCGGCCTTGGATTCCGGGGAGAAGGTTGCATCCTGAGGCTGGGAAAGGAGAGGGTCTTTGGGGTCTCCTGACCGATGCTTCTCCCCTCCAGGCTTGCGCCCCAGAGGACCCGCGCCCCAAGCCCCCGCGCCGCCCCCAGGCCCACCCGGAGCATGCTGCCTGCAGCCATGAAGGGCCTCGGCCTGGCGCTGCTGGCCGTCCTGCTGTGCTCGGCGCCCGGTGAGTAGGGGGCCCGCGGGCTGGGTCAGGTGCCTGGGAGAGCCCGAGGCGCCGCGGGAGAGCCGGGTGTGGGGCTGCCACCCTCTGACGGTTCCCACCGCACTTCGCATAGAGCCCACGCCCCCTCCGGGACCCCTGCGACCCCAGCCCGGCCCTCGGCCCCTCTGCCCCGGCACTGGGCTCTCTCCAGCGCTCTTCCTCCAGGGCCTGGAACTGGTGGGCGGCTGGCCCCGCACGGAAGCCCTTGGTCATCCGTCACCTCTGAGAGCCTCCCGGGCCTCCTTTCAAATCCAGTTTGGTCCTTCACAGCTTGGAACCCACGGACCTCTGGGGGGGATATGTGAGGCGGGGCGGGAGTGTGAGGGGGGCACTGTCGGTGTGGGGTCTGTATAGCCCGTGTGTGTGTTTGTGTGTGTGTGTGCACGCACGTGCATGGGGGCCAGGGAGGGGCCATAGGGGCTCCCCTCAAACTGCCAGGATGGGGCACAGTTGTCCCAGGGCCTCTGCTCCCCCTCCAGGGGTCATGGGGGCCTGCTCCCTCCCGTGGGGTCGGGCTCTCCCAGGAGTGCCTGCAGCAGGGGGATGGGTGGGGGGCGCAGGGGGCTGCCTGGTTTGGACCCCAGTGCCTCTGGTCACCCTCCTCCCCATGCCCTGCCCAGCTCATGGCCTGTGGTGCCAGGACTGCACCCTGACCACCAACTCCAGCCATTGCACCCCAAAGCAGTGCCAGCCGTCCGACACGGTGTGTGCCAGTGTCCGAATCACCGATCCCAGCAGCAGTAAGTTGGGACTTAGGGTGGTGGGGAATGTGCTAAAAGCCAGGCTCTTGAGAGAGGTCAGAGGTGTCCTCGGAGCCCCTCTGGCCTGGGACGAGAGTGAGAGCGTGGGGCGGCAGGCAGGATACTGTCCTGCTGTCCCCCCCTGGCTCCTTGGTGGCCCTTTTCATCTAGTTGAGGCCAGCGTGGGAGGGTGGAGGGACTCGGCCCTGCCTACTGGGGCCCCGAGCTGACCCGGAGGGGCCTGGGCTGGGTCCTCGGGATGAGGCAGAGAGGGCCCAGGAGGAGCCCCCGTCCCAGGCCACGCTTTCTCTTCCCAGGCAGGAAGGATCACTCGGTGAACAAGATGTGTGCCTCCTCCTGTGACTTCGTTAAGCGACACTTTTTCTCAGACTATCTGATGGGGTTTATTAACTCTGGGATCTTAAAGGTCGACGTGGACTGCTGCGAGAAGGATTTGTGCAATGGGGCGGCAGGGGCAGGGCACAGCCCCTGGGCCCTGGCCGGGGGGCTCCTGCTCAGCCTGGGGCCTGCCCTCCTCTGGGCTGGGCCCTGATGTCTCCTCCTTCCCACGGGGCTTCTGAGCTTGCTCCCCTGAGCCTGTGGCTGCCCTCTCCCCAGCCTGGCGTGGCTGGGGCTGGGGGCAGCCTTGGCCCAGCTCCGTGGCTGTGGCCTGTGGCTCTCACTCCTCCCCCGACGTGAAGCCTCCCTGTCTCTCCGCCAGCTCTGAGTCCCAGGCAGCTGGACATCTCCAGGAAACCAGGCCATCTGGGCAGGAGGCCTGGGGATGAGGGTGGGGGGGGACCCCCAGGTCCCGGAGGGGAAGTGAAGCAACAGCCCAGCTGGAAGGGCGTCTTCTGCGGAGAAATAAAGTCACTTTTGAGTCCTGAGACCCGGGTCTGAGCCTGGGTGTCGGGGGCGGGAAAGGGTTCCTGGCAGAGAGCTGGGAATGAGGTGCTGAGGGAGCGGAGGGGCTGGGGGCAGGGCGGGCGCTCAGCCAGGATCTTGGGCTCTTGGGCTCAGGGCACTGGGGTGCTGGGTGGTTGTGCTGGGGCTGCTTGGTCCTGGTGAGGTTTAGGAGCACTTGGGGTGATGGGGTGAGAGCTGAGATGAGCAAGATCACAGGGTGGGCTTGGGGGGAGGTACCGGAATCCTGTGAGCACACCACAGACACCAGACACGCCCACAAACAGTGGTGCCCACGCAGCCAGCATGTGCACACACACTCATGCCCAGACAAGCATACAAACGGTGCCCACGCAGCCAGCATGTGCACACACACCCGTGCCCGCCCTGCTCCTTCACACACACACACCCCAGGTGCCCCGCGCACACGTGCTGGGGCATGCACATAACTGGCACAAACTGGCGTGTCCCAGTGCACGTGCCCACACCCACACGTGCATGCCCATGTCTGTGCACACCCACCCTTGTACACTCAGCGTGCAGTGCACACGGTGCCCTCACAGACTCACAGATGAGACCACGCGTGCTGGCCTCCTCTCGCCCCCACCCCAGCTGTCTCTGCCCCTGGGGGCTGCTTCAGGCCGAGTGGAGTCCTCCTGTTCCCTCACCCTGCCTCTTCACTGGACATCCACTCCGGCCACTCCTGGCCCTGAGTTGGGCTCCTGAGGCCACTCCCTGTGGCCAGGGGTTGAGGAAGCCCACACCTCTCTGTGGGCTGGCCCGGAGGGACTGGGTGCCGTGGGGTGAGGGGGCAGGGAAGACTTGGCCTGGGGAATGTTGGAGTGATGTCTTGATCCTTCCTGCTCCAGTTTCAGCCCTGCACCCCCGCATCCAGCCCAGCCTCCCACACCCACCGGCCACCACGCTAGATGCTCCACCAGCGGCTCGTCTCACGGCCCAGGCTCACCACACCGCTTGGCAGGCACCCCAGGGTTTCTCCGAGGCCTGGTCTCTGGCCACTGCTGCATCATGCCACCTGTGGCTGACCCAATCTCATGGCCACTGCTGGGTCCTGGGCTCCTTAGGGAAAGCAGTGGTTCCTGTAAAGGCTGGCCTTGCATGAGGGATGGCGAGGAATTGGGTCCAGGGCTGGTGAGCCAGGAAGAGAGAGGAGGCCTGCGGTCCTGGGCATTGGTGCCCATTCCCTGCTGGACACAGCCAAGGGGCTTTTCCATTGAAGGCCACCTGCTCTGTGATGCAGCCCCCGCCCCCACCCCACCCTTCAGTAAAGTGTGCTGCTCTTGCTTGTGCCTCCTGTTTTGGGGGCTGGGGTACTGCAGAGAAGCTGAGAATTCCCAGGAGGCAGGAAGCCCTGGAGCGATGGAACCCCCGAGGGAAGCCTTGGCCAGCTAGGGAGGCCGTGGACAGGCCATCCCACCGGGGTGAGGCTTGAGCCAATTGTCATATAAATCTTTGTATGCTGAATTTATTATCTGAAAGAGGTATTTAAAGACACAAAAAGGAGTGAAATTCTCCCACCTTCTTGAAAAATCATATACAATCAGAAGGGCACGCCCTCACCTCTCCATCACCTCCCACCCTGAGGGGCTGCCAGGGCCAGACAGGCAGGAAGCCGGCCAGCTCCCAAGCTGCCGCTGGCACTGGCTGAGTGGGTTTCCCCATCTCTGAAGGAGTTTAAGTGTGGTCCCCACCTGACAGGTTGTCTTTGAAGGGCTGAACTTCACCGTCCGCGTGAAGCCCTTGGTCCAGCGGGGCACATGGACGGTGCTGAGAAATTGATCTGCTATGCAACCCTTTCTACTGAGCAGTTCACCGGTGATGTCATCCCAGGGCCCCGTGTCCAGGTGG
This sequence comes from Homo sapiens, assembly GCF_000001405.40. NCBI lineage: Eukaryota > Metazoa > Chordata > Mammalia > Primates > Hominidae > Homo > Homo sapiens. Next base: position 151,615 of record NT_187573.1, on the reverse strand, counting down.
ACCGGCTTTAACGTCTGCTTAGGGTTCCCCTGGATGAGGGAGCCGTGCATTTGTAACTGTCCCTTATCAGTGGGTGTAGGGTTTGTTCTCAAATGTCTATTGTCAGCAACACTGAAGTGACCCTCCTTGTCCTCATACCTCCATGGGCTCAAGTGGTGATGGGTGTAGGATGGATGCCAATGAATGAGCAGAAATCTGATGAAGTTGCTGCTTCTGAAGATTCTGGACACACTTGCTAGCAATGAGTGTTGTTCACCTTCAGCAACGTTTTGCCCGCCTCGTGGACAAAGAGAATCTCCACGCCTTCTGTGTCAGCCACGTGTGCTTCTCCTCTCTCGCCTGGTCACACCCTTTGCCCATGCCCCTATCGTGCTGCTTGTCTTTGTCCTACTGACTTGCACTGCCCTTTTGTATATTTTGGGGACATGAATCTTCCCTGTGTCATACGTTGTGTGGATATTTCCTTGCCGTCTGTTGCCTGTGTCTTGTTTGCGTTGTTTTCAGCGTGCATTTATGGATGTTCTAACGTTGGATGCAGTCAAATCTGACTAGTTGTTCTTTTATGGTGTGGGGGCTTCATGTCTTAGGAGAATTTCCTCTACCTTTATCTTAGGAAAAGAGTTCCGTATTTTCTTCTAATATTTTTACAGATTTGGTTACTGTATTCAGATAGCCAGTCCATCTGGAGTTTATTTACAATGTGGCAGGAGGTAGGAGGTTCTTCCAAATGACCACTTTTCCTCAATGTCATTTATTAAACAACCCGCCTTTCGCCCGTTGATCTGAGATGCCGCCTTTATAGTACAATGCCTTCCCACGTGTGGCAGGCTGTTTCTGAGCCGCTGCTCACTGGGATTGCACTGGTCGGTTCGTCACGGGTCATCTACATGTGATGCTGTTTCAACGATGGCAGCCGGGCGGCGTGTTTTACACTCGTTAAGGCAAGGGCCCCACGTTATTCTTTTTAAACACATACTGCTACTTCTCACAATTTATTCTTACAGATGGGTTTTGGGATCCATTTTTCCGGTTGCAGAAAATGCTAACGCTGTTAGCATTTCGGCGGGACTGTCTCTCTCTTGCATGTGAGGTTGGGGGAGCTGCGGTCTTGGCTGCTTCAAGTCTCCCGCTCAGCAGCTTGGTGTCTGGCCTCTTCACTCGGCCTCCTGAGCGATGTCCCACTGAGTCGGACTGAGTGATGGGCTGTGCTCCTTCCTTGATGTACTTATTACTGGGTAATTTATGGTTTTTTGGTGTTGCAAATTGGATTTCCCTTCTTACCTTCACATTTTTCTGGCCATTGTTGGTGCGATGAGTGGATGCTTTTTATTTTTTTGTGATTTCTTTTTGTAAGTCTCCCACTCTGTTGAAGCAGGTGGACTAGGCCTGCTTGCTGCCTGAGAGGAGGGGCTGATAGGGCAGAACACCAAGGTCCCCTGGAACCCTGTCCTGGTGCTTCCAGAAGCCTGACCCACCTGGCTGTGGGCCCCTCAGAGGCAGACAGTGAGACAGAGGGAGGAGTCTGAGGAGGAACCTCTCAGAACATCTCAAGACACTGCCAGGTCAAGAAAACTCAGGCTTTAAAGGATGGAAGTTAGTTTTATTCAGAAGCCTTGCTAAATATGACAACCGAGGGGTCTTTCCAAGAGTTTCTAGTAGGCTGCTCCAGAGCTGTTCCAGCCTACAACCTGCGTGTGGGCAGCGGCTCCGCACGTACCCAGGTGTGACAGTGGGGCAGAGCCTCAGGGCTGGGTGTGTGGCTGCATCTGGCCACGGATCCTAGGGGCATAATTGCAAATCCTGTCAGCATCATCATCTTTCATGCAGGAAGAAGCAAGAGTCAGGATCATTGAACTCATCTTTCTAAAAACCCAGTGACTCAGGCAGGAGAACGGGGACCTGGTCTGTAGCCCACTCATGGCCTCCGGGGCATCCTTCCACAAGCTGCACCCAGTCCTGAGTCAGGAGCTCAGGAAATCCTGCCTGCAGGCAGGATGAGCACACACAGCTTCCTACGTGTGCTACTTTGTCTCACGATACAGAGCGGGAGGGAGGCACTGCCCTCTAACCAGGATGAGAGACTCCCTAGCCCGGGCAGGGAAAGGGGAGCTGCTGAGGGCTGAGGCTGGGATGAGTCCCAGAGAGAGGTTGCACCTGGCGTCCTGGGCAGCAATCCCAGAGCACCAAGACCTCAGAGTGGCCCCGGGTGAAGGTGGTCAGGGCAGGTGGGCCCCTGGCAGCCTCAGAACCAACAGAGGATGGGGTTAGGACGCAGATAAAGGAGAAGCCATTTGGTGGCAGCCAGTGTGCACCGGGCACTGGCCAAGGGCTGAGGGTCCAGGGCCCAGTGGTGTCTCCACAAACACCCTGAGTGGACAGATATGCCATCCTGCTGCCCACAGCCCCGCACAGACACAGCCCTGGGCAAGAAGGCATGGAGGACCTGCAGTCACTACGACTATGTTCCTGCCAGCCGGTAGAGTGGAGAGGTCTAGGAATAGAAATTGTAGGAACAGTAAAGTCGTGTTTCTCGTTCAGCTGTTTCTGGGCTGTGCTCCTCTACCCAAGTGTCCCCTGCCCGCTCAGGCCAGCATCCACCAGAGTGAGTTTAAGTAGAGGGCTTCACAGGGGCTTTGCAGGGAGGGCTGGGGCCTCAGGCTGCAGGCGTGGCCTCCGGGAAAGACCCAGGGCTGGCCTGGCTGGCACGGCCGCTGCCCCTGCCCCTGTCCAGGGAAGGAGGCCTGCACCTCACCTCCGTAGCTTTCCTTAGGAGTTCTGCCTGGATGTGCCTCCCCGGCAGAGATGAAGTCACATAGCTACACCCTAGGGCCTGGGAGGTTGCACGATATAGTTCCTGAATTCTGCAACAGGAAGATGGGATTCACGATGCAGAACTTTCAGAAATGTTCAGAGCGTGTTCAGGTGACTTGAGGCAGCCACAGATGACACCACAGGTGCGGTAAGTGAAGGCTGCTTATTTCTGAATGCATATCTTCCTGAATTCCACGATTAGCAGAATCTCTTAGATGTTCAAGGGATATAACCATATAATTGGCAAATAAAGATAATTTGGTTGCTTCTTTCCCGGTACTTATATTGCCTGTTCAGCTTTTGTTTCTATTGCCTTAGCTGAGCCCTCCAAAGCATGGCTGAATAATAACAGTGACCAGGGTGTCTGTGCTAATGGGAGGTCTTTCATGTTACGCCACAAATTAGTGTTTGCTGTTGGATTTCAAAATCAGTCTTTACTGAGTCTAGACTCTTTACTTATTCATATTTCATTTAGCTTTTTATTAGGAATGAACTTAAAAGAAATGCCCTTTCATGATCTATGGCTCTAAGTCCATATTTTCCTATTTAATGAATAGTTAGTGCGGCGAGCTCCATTGCTAGATTTCCTTGTGGTGAGCTGCCCTGGCATTTGTGATGTATTACTCGTTTAAATCACTGCCAAATTCAGATAGCCAATATTTGGTTAGGATGTTTGCGTCGCAGACACCTGCATCACAGTCAGGCTGAGATGTGTCTGTAGCTTTTCTTTTGATATCTTTATCAGAGCTCAGACAGCCATTTCCCACCTCCCATGCTCTGGGGCAGTCTGGCTGCCTGGGGGTCCGTGGGGTTCACCTTCCCCAGTGGGGCCTCCAAAGCCCTCCTGCTTCCCCTCTCCGGGGGCTGGGGAGGTAGCTGGGCCAGGGAAGCTGCAAGATCAGTGGGTGCTGGGCCCCCTCGTGTGGGGCCGGGGCCTGTCTAGGCCGTCTCCTCCTTCCTTTGTGTTGGACCTCCAGCTGGATTGAGGCCTAACTGTGCCCACTTTATCTTGGGAAACAGCTAAGAAGTCAGACACTGACATACCAAAACCTTCAGTGGATTCGCAGAGGACATCAGGCTACCTGGATTCCAATTTCTCTTCTAGCACCTCCTGGCCGTGTGACCCTGGCCAAGTTCTGCAGCCTCTCGGGGCCTGGTCCTGTGTCTGTGAGGCAGGACACACCCAGCTCACGGGGGTGCTGTGGGTGTGGGGGCGGGGCTGATCCTGGAGCCCGCCTTTGGCCCTCTGCTCCAGGTTGGCAGAACGCTGGTCCAGGCAGGGTGGACGGAAGGTGGCGGGAAGTGGGAGAATGAACACTCCTCCCTCCTCAACTTTATTCCTGGGGCCTGTAGCTTTCTCCAAACTCCCCCAGGTTCTTCGTGCTCTACAAGACAGATGTTTACTTTTGTGGTTTTCAGATATCCCCAGGCCTCCCCGCGACATCCGCACACTGGAGACTGGAAGTTCCCTGAGTTTCGCGAAGTTGGGGAGGAAAGCGGCCCTTCCCCTTGAGGGAGACAGGGAGGCTGGGTGGGTGCAGGAAAGCCTCCTCCTCCCTGCATGCTCCCCTCGGGCCCTCCACTCCCAAACTCCAGGGACATCAGGATCTCCTCCCTGCACGCTCCCCTAGGGCCATCCACTCCCAAACTCCAGGGGCATCAGAATCTCCTCGGAGGCAGGTTCAAAGGCAGATGCACAGGGCCCGCGCCTAGAAGCCCTGATGTAAAGGGCCCAGCACTGGCTCCAGGAGTTGGTACCAGCCTTACTGGTAAGAAGCAGGGGGTGCAGCGTCGGAAGGGGAGGAGCACGCCCACAGTTTTATATGCGTACGGGCTCAGTTTTCTGCTTTCTGCGAGCTGAGTGCTGGGCTCTAGGTCCTGGGGACAGAGCAGTGGATGAGACAGAGGAGGTGGCTGTCCTCTAGTGAGCACGCGTGTGTGTGCGCAGGCCTGTGCTTGGAGGGGTGGTGCAGATGGTAAACAGGCACACAACCGCTTTGATGGGATAGTTTGGGAAAGCGATGGCTGCTGAGAAGAGCCCCGTCCAGGGAAGGGGAGAAGGCGAAAGGCAGAGCACACGAGCTCTGCAGGCAGCCTGAGCTGCTGTCCATGGCTCATGGGGAATTGAGCCCGTGGGCCTCATGGGGCTAAAGCAGTGGGTCTTTCAGGTCAGGCTGGGGCCCACTGCAGGGCCAGCTCCAGCACTTGCTGCCAAGGCCACCTGGAAGGGAGGCTAGTGCCTTCCTCACCCTACTTGGAGGGAGGCTGCTGGGGACAGGGGCGTGGAGCAGGAAGGGGCAAGGAGGTTCAAGGGCTCCTCTGTTTGGATTCTTTTAAAAAAACAGGTAAGAACGCTTGCATCAATTAAAAAAGAAGTCTACCTTGAGAAGTGTGTCTCCTGCCCTGTCATTATCTGACCGGTTTCCTGTGTACCCGTTCAGGATGTCTTTATACAAGGACAAGAAAGTCCTTTACAGCTGAGGTCGTTTACTCTTTCTGCCTCTCAGTGCAGCCTGGAGATCTTTCTGTGATGGCGCAGAGCCAGCTCCCCACTCCGTTCTTAACAGCAGCATCGCACAGCACACATACTCCTGTGTCTGCTTATTTATTTATTTAGAGACAGAGTCTTACTCTGTCGCCCAGGCTGGAGTGCAGTGGTGTCATCTTGGCTCATTGCAACCTCTGCCTCCTGGGTTCAAGAGATTCTTGTACCTCAGCCTCCCAAGTAGCTGGGATTACAGGTGTGTGCCACCATGCCTGGCTAATTTTTGTATCTTTAGTAGAGATGGGGTTTCACCATGTTGGTCAGGCTGATCTCCAACTCCCGACCTCAAGTGATCTGCTGGCCTTGGCCTCCCAAAGTGCTGGGATTACATGCGTGAACCACCGCGCCTGGCCTGTTTCTGCATATTTAGATGGTCTCACTCATGCTCCAGTTACAAGGCTGTAATGCATAGCCTCAGACATGTCAGCTAGCTGCTGCGTGTGGGGACACATCTCCAGAGTCAGTCTTGCTGGGCCTGTAACTGATGAGTGAGCATGGTTGTCCTGGGGCTGCACACTTTCACACTTCCAGTAGCGATGCCTGAGACCACAGCTTCTCTGTTGCCGTTGGACTTCCGTGAGTCTGGTCAGCAATGAAAGACGGCATTGCAGCTGTGTTCTGAATTTTGGAAGTTGGACCACAGGTATGGGGACCTGGAGGCGCCGTCACCCTTGGCTCCTGGCACGTGCCCCTTATTGGTTCGTGCATGCCCGTCTTCTCGTTCTGGGCATTTTGATTTCTTTGTCTTTTGTTGGGGGGTGTGTGGGGATGGTTTCCATTTCTCTGGCCTCTCTGCTCATAACCTCGGTCCCTTTGCTGTGGGATGGTTGGTCTCCTTACTCTTTTCTGGGAACTTTCTGCATAGCTGGGAAATAAGCCCTTCATTTATAATAAGAGTGACACACATTTCCCCCTTTATTTTGCTTATGGTGTTTTGTGAGTTTTTTTTTCTTTTTTCTTTTTTTTTGCCACATGGAAGCTTCTTTTCCTTGAATTTTTATGGAGACACTATTACCATTATTTCTTACAGCTTCAGGATTTGAGTCATAGAAAAATCTTCCCTCCTCCGATGCTTAAAGGGAACCTCTCCTGCTTTCTTCTCAGGCGGAGCAGGGCTGGCGATTACCCAGCGCCCGATGGAGGAACCCAGTTGGAAGCTGCGTGGTGCCCAGGCCTGGGGCTCACCCCTGCACTTCGAGGCCCCGTGTGTGCTGGGGCTGTGCTGGCACTGTGGGCTGGGGGATTCAGGGCCGGGCAGCATAGGGGTGCTGTTTTCCCACACCCAGCCTCCAGTGAGTCCTCCCTCCACTGAGGGCAGGAACCTGTGGCCCCTGCAGCCTAGGGGCCTGTGGACCACGCCTCACCCCCAGGGGGTCCCAGGCCCACCACCCCTGCTCCCTGTGTTTCCTGCAGGGATGCAGAACATGCTGACTCAGACCTAAGCTCACAGGTGCAGGGGACGTCTCCCATCCCCAGAAGGGCACACGAGGGTGGTTCCTGGAATCGCCTCTCCCTGGCGTCTGTCCCTCTGCCCTGGAGCATTTCTGAGGCCCTCCCTGTGCTGTCCCATCCTGGGTGCCCGGGAGTCCCAGGCCTGGTCTTCTGTCCCCTCACTGGGCAGGGAAGGCCTGCACACGTGGGTGGCCGGTGGCCCCTGCTCCTCCTGGGCTCTGCGGTCCCCCCTTATGCTCCGGCCCCCGTGAGCCCCTTCCCACTGTAAGGCTCTAGCCCCACCTGGTGGGTGTGGGTGAACTGGAGGGGAGGGGGCTAAATGTGTTCATTGATTGACTCCACCCGGTGGCTCATTCTCTCTTGTGTTGGTTTCTGCACCTGTCCATGCTTGCTGACGTGAGTTTGAAATGCATCTGTCCGTGCCCCCTCGGCACAGCTAAGACACGCAGAGAGGAGCAGATCAGAACCAAGAGGCCCAGAGCGGGAGACAGGGGCTGCAGAGCTGGGATGGGGGCACCTGCTGCTCCCTGCAGTCTTGATGCCTGAGCTGCGGGGCTCACTCCCCTCCCATGTGGGCTTTTACCAGCGAGGCCTGTGCCCCAGGTCCTGAGCGTGGGAGGGTGTGTCAGGTGGTCATTTCTAGCAGTGAACGTTATTAGGGGACAGAGAGGACAGTGACGAACAAAACCTGGTGGCCCAAGAAGCTTGAATCCAGGAGGACCAGGCCGGCCTTAATGCCTTTGAGCCCCAGCTATGGGCTCAGGTCTGGGATCCTAGAAAGGCTGGCCAGCTGTAGTCTGCAGCCCATGATGGGGGTGGGTGCCCATCTGGGAGGTCCTGGTGGGATGCAGGAGGTGAGGCCTGACGGGCATGGGGTGGATGGAGGCGCCCAGGAGGCCCAGGACCTGGCCTGGGGAGGGCGGGCCTGGGCCACCCAGCGAGGGCATAGGTGAGTTATGGGTGGGGCAGGGCCCCCCGATGCTGACTGGGCTGAGGTGGGCACCGCAGGATACTGGGGTGGGGGCGTCCTGGAGAACTGGAAGGTGGGAGTGGCTGAGAGTCAGGCCCTCAAGGAACAGGAGAGTCTGGGGCTGGGGGCCTCCCCCGGCCCCTCGCCTGACAGTGGCCCTCCTGGCTGAAGCTCCAGAATCCCCCGGCTAGAGCAGAGCCTCTCTGCCCTCCCCACCACTGTCCTCAAGTTCCCCTAATGTCACGGGGGCTCCTTCTCTCGGCACTGGGGGCTGGCTGGAAGCAGCCATGCATCACTGGCTCAGCAATGGAGAACCAGAGGCTCTGGGAAAACCGCTGAGTGTCCAGCTGGGAAATCTCTGGGTGGGTGAGAGAGGGTTTTGAGGCAGCGGTGAGGCCAGGTCCCAGACTTCCCTGGCCCATGGCGGTGCTCGGAGCAGCGTGGCTTGGCTGTGGGTGCTGGGGCTGGGTTCGCACTCTTCCTCCCCAGGCCACTGACCCTGGCCTTCCCTCCCCTGTCCCCACACTCCCAGGTGAGATGGGTGTGGCTCTTTGGAGCAGGGATCCCGGAATTCAGGTCTGTCCAGCCAGCCCCTCAGCAGATGATCGGTAATTTTGTTAAATGAATGAATAAAGTAAAAAGAAATGGTGAGGGATAAAGAATGATCATTGAATCTGCCATAAATCATGAATTCATGTGTTTGATGAGCGGGACTGGATAGCAGGGGGCACGTGCCCGGTGGGTGGTCCGTGAGCGGTGGATGGTGATGGCGGAAGAACCCCTCTCCCTGGCTGGACCCCCCTCCCTGTGTCAGCAGCTCCTATCCATCCCCCTTCTCTCCAAACACATCCATCCCCCTTCTCTCCAAACTCATCCATCCCCCTTCTCTCCAAACACATCCATCCTCCTTCTCTCCAAACTCATCCATCCCCCTTCTCTCCAAACTCATGCATCCCCCTTCTCTCCAAACACATTCATCCCCCTTCTCTCCAAACACCCATCTCCCCCAAGTCTACCTGGGGTCCCTGCTCCAATCCCTCCTGGGTGCTGGGCCTTGTCTGCTACCTGAGGGGTTGAGCACATGTGGCCACTGGGGGCATTGGAACCTCTGCACTGGGCCCCCCAGGACCACAGGACAAGTGACCTTGATCTGGGGGAGGTCTCAGAAGGGGTGGGCTGTGCATCGGAGGGTACGGCTGGGAAGCAGAGCTAAAATCAGAAAACCAAGTCGTCCTTTGTTAAATGTCCCTGATGTTCCCACAGTAGTCGCCATGGTTACCACGGCTTCAAGTCCCCTGTGTCTTCCAGAGCCCTCTGGAGGGGCCGCTCGCTGCTCTAGCTGGGCCTCCATCTCGGCTTGCTGGAGGTGGGGGGTCGTGCAGGTTTCACGGGGCCGGGGTGCATCCTCAGCCCCTCAACCCCCACCATGTCTCCAGAACTGTGGTCCAGGGCTCAGGCTAGAGGGGCCGCCATTGCCTGCCTCTCCTGGGCAGGCACCTTTCTCTGGGTGGCCCTCCGAGCTGTGTGTGTGGGGGCCAGGCTTACACCCTGTCCCAGCTGCTGGCCCGGCTCTGCCTGTGGGTTCCTTCCCTCACTCCTGGGGGGAGGGGCCTCCTTGTGAGGCATCCCAGAGTTCGAGGATGTTGGGGACAGCTTCCCTGCAGGCTGTCAGCTGCCAGCCTCTGTGCCTCAGTGTGTTTCTGGCAACGGAGACCTGGTGCCTTCAGACACTGGGCCTTCAGGGAGCTTGGTGTTTAACCCAGATGGCCAAACACTCTTGTGAGAGAAGGAATATTTAGGGACTGAACACACCAGAGGCATTTGCGGGGCCATCACCAAGCATGCGTTTCCTCTCCAGCTGCAGCTCAGCCCTGGGTGGAGGCCACCACGTGGTCCCCGTTTCAAAGTGGGGAGAGGGCTGAGTTGCTCCAGGTTCCGCAGTTGGAAAGGGGAGGGGGCTGAGAATCACAGCCAGGCAAAAGCTCATGGAGGAGGCAGACCTGGGCCAGCAGACACCACATGTCCTGCTGAAGCTGTGGCAGTTAAGAGAGTGCAGCGTCCTTACCGGGATCCACAGTTGCCCAGCGAGGCAGAACAACGCACCCAGAAATAGGCCTGCTCACCAGTGCGGGAGGGGCGGGCCAGATCAGGGTCGCGAGGCCCTCTTCAATACACAGAGCAGAGATGGGAGCTGTCTGCATGGGAAGTCCCATTGGGTACTCATCGCACACCACCCACACCCACAGAATAAATCCAGGCTCAATCAAGGGAGTGAATGTCAAGAGCAAAACTTGAAAACCTCTTTTTTTTTTTGAGATGGAGTCTCGCTCTGTCTCCCAGGCTGGAGTGCAGTGGCGCAACCATGACTCACTGCAGCCTTGACCTCCCAGGTTCAAGCAATCTTCCTGCCTCAGCTTCCTAAGTAGCTGGGACCATAGGTGCACACCACAGTGTCCAGCTAATTTAAAATTTTTTTTTTTTTTTTTTTTTTTTTTTTTTTTTTTGTAGATAGAGAGTCCCTATGTTGCCCAGGCTGGTCTTGAACTCCTGGGCTCAAGTGATCCTCCTGCCTCTCAGCCTTCCAAAGTGCTGAGATTACAAATGTGAGCCACCTTGTCCAGCTAATTGAAAAAAAAAAATCTTTCTGTAGAGATGGGGTCTGAACAGTTAGTTGCCCAGGCTGGTCTTGAACTCTTGACCTCAAGGGATCCTCCCACCTTGGCCTCCCAAAGTGCTGGGATTACAGGCGTGAGCCACCTCACCAGGTCCCTGAAAAACTTTTACAAGAAAATAAAAATGAATTTCTGTGTGATTTGGAGAATTTCTTAAGTAAGACACAAATAGAAAATCTCATAACAAAAAATCGATAAATTTGACAAGAAAATTAAAAACTTTCATTTGTTAAAACGTATCTTAAAACAAAAGGTTAAATCACAAACTGGAAAAAGAGACATGCAACAAACGTACCCGACAAAGGGTTGGTACAAGAATAGATTAATGACACCCAGAGTCACAAAGAAGACAGGCAATGTCGGGGCCGAGAGCACAGACCTGCATACAGGAGAAATGCTCTGTTTCAGAAGCTCCCAGGGAGCGACAGCCACAGATGCAGATGAGCAAACATTTAGAGTCTGGTGATGCCACGTGCGGCAGAGACTGTTCTCTGCTGGGATCTCGTGGACTCTGCAGTTTGGAGATAAATTGGCACAGCCATGTGGGGAGACAGTGGGGTGGATTCTGTGGAGGTGAATGTTTGTGTCCCTCATACCCGAGCAATCTCTTTCTGGCATATCACCCAGAAAAACGTCTTGCATGTGAATATCAGGAGACGTGGGTGTGAATGTTACTGTGAACAGTTGTACTGTTCACAAGACCAAAAGTCTTGAAACAGCCAAAATGGCCTTCAGCAGAGAATGGGTTAAGGAAGCGCTGTGACACGCAAAGGAACATTGCACACGGCGGTGAGCAAGCCACAGTACGGAGCAGCGTGGGCATGTGCGGGCAGCGCTGAGCCAAGTACACAAGGGGGTCCCAGAAGACCACATCGAGCCAATGCTCTGACATAAGTCACTTTACAATGCTTTATAGAAATGCGACAGGAAAAATACAGCTTTACGGACTTCATGAAACTCTTTAGTCATCTACTTATCTACCTCTCCATCATCTGTCACATCTCCATCTTTCTGTCTCTTTATCCCTCTTATTTATCTCTTCTATCTCTCTGTCATCTATTTATGTGTGTCTCTATCTATCTATTATCTATCATCTATCCATCTATTATCTATCTTTCTATCATCTTGTGGGAAACAAACTTACCCATCCCAACCCAAAGAATGGACTTAGAAACTTGGAGAACAGTGAAAGTGAGACTTGTAATGATGATCTTGCGAGGTTGGGTGTCTGATGGACAGGCACACCTAGCACGACTTCAACAAGCAATTTATCCCCTAGTGCGCAGGTCTCTCCCCCGGTTCCTCATAGGCTGAGTATGATGGGGGTCACAGTCTTCCTGGACGTCACCTATTGGTTGTTGGGCAGGGGCTGTAGGTGTTTTCTTTAGGGTTGTCTTGCTGCATTTTGTTGTGGCCCACAATGCATTGCAATCCTAGTCAGCTTGGGGGCCTTTCAAGTATTTGACCTATGACCTAAGTAGCTGGGCAGGCTGATAAGAACAGAAAAAACGAGCTATTTTGCAGGCTAGTAAACTTTCATCTTAGACTAAACTTCTTTGGTTTGGGTGAGGGCAACTAAGGGGGGTTGGGGGCAACAAGTAAGTGCTGGCTGTCCAAGCAGGGGCCTAGTATATCCTGTTTCTTCTGTAGTTTGCTGGCCTAAGGCGATTTAAGGCACATTGTCTTGGAAATGGACCACTGTATGCATTATTTCCTTCAATCTCTATCCAGCTCTATCTATCTATCTATCTATCTATCTATCTATCTATCTATCTATCTATCCATCCATCCATCCATCCATCCATCCATCTGCCCGCCTGCCCGCCCACCCACCTGCCTACCTACCTACCCATCAGAGGAGACCAAGAACGATCAACTCAAGATTCTGGAGTCTGGTGTTTGGACCCTAGGAGGGGAGGCTAGAGGCTTGGGGTCTGACACCCCACAGAGGGCAGCACATTCTAGTGAAAGCCTAGGGTTTATGTTGGTGAGAGTTCATGGATGGTTTTTACATGTTCTTCTAAGAAGGAAGAAACCCAGTGATGAGGGTGTCACAGACCAAAGATCATGACCTGAGCTGTGAGAAATACTCTCACATGAAGACAAAACAAAGCCAAGCCCTCAGTGTTGTGTTTGTGTCAGGCCCCTCAGCATTGTGGAAAACTGGGGCCTGGGAACAGAAGCTGACAGTCCCCTTCTCTGGCTCTGGGCACCGCTGCAGGACGGTCCTCAGGAGACCCCTTCGTCGAGAGCCCCTTCCGTGAGGCCTGTCCTCCCCACACACACGAGTCATCGTCCTGGGGGACCAGTGCTGTGTTCAGTGCTGAAAATGCCGTCTCCGGGGAGACATGCCCCCGCTTCCTAAGTGGCGTGGCTGACCTCCCACTCTAGGGCCTGTCAGTGTTAGCAGGATGAATGTATTTCTGCAAGGGGGAGATTTGGAATGTGAGAAGAAAGGACATTTCCCCAGGGAGGAGAGGAGCAGGGTTTTGAGGGCCCCTGGACCTGCAGAGCTGGAGATGGGAGAAGGGGCCCTTGGCAGCAGGGTCCCCGGTGTGAGGGCCTTCCAGGGAGGACGGACAGGGTCTCAGGTTCCCTCATGTGAGGACCTCTGGGGAGGGAGGGACAGGGTCTCAGGTGTCCCATGTGAGAACCTCCTGGGGAGGGAGGAGGGACAGGGTCTCAGGTCCCCCATGCAAGGGTGAGCTGGCCTCCTGCGGAGGGAGGGACAGGGTCTGAGGTCCCCCTGTGTGAGGGCGAGCTGGCCTCCTGCAGGCGGAAGGACAGGGTCTGAGATCCCTCTGTGTGAGGGTGAGCTGGCCTCCTGGGGAGGGAGGGACAGGGTCTGAGGTCCCCCTGTGCGAGGGCGAGCTGGCCTCCTGCGGAGGGAAGGACAGGGTTTGAGATCCCTCTGTGTGAGGGTGAGCTGGCCTCCTGGGGAGGGAGGGACAGGGTCTGAGGTCCCCCTGTGCGAGGGTGAGCTGGCCTCCTGGGGAGGGAGGGACAGGGTCTGAGGTCCCCCCTGTGCAAAGGTGAGCTGGCCTCCTGGGGAGGGAGGGACAGGGTCTGAGGTCCCCCTGTGTGAGGGCGAGCTGGCCTCCTGGGGAGGGAGGGACAGGGTCTCAGGTGTCCTGTGTGAGAACCTCCTGGGGAAGGAGGAGGGACAGGGTCTGAGGTCCCCCATGCGAGGGTGAGCTGGCCTCCTGGGGAGGGAAGGACAGGGTCTGAGGTCCAGCGGCAGGAGCTGCCCATTGTGTGGGTCCCCCGTGTCTGCCGTGGCACGTTGCCATCTGCCAGTGGCATTAAACAACAGAAACGTATTCTCCCACAGCCCTGGAGGCCAGCAGTGTGAAATCAAAGTGTCGGGGGTGGGAGGGTCATGCTTCCTGTGAAGGCTCCGGGGAGGCTCTTGCCGCCTCTTCCAGCCTCAGGGGTCCGGGCGTTCCTGTGGCCGTGTCTCTGCAGTCTCTGCCTCTGCCTCCACATGCCTTCCTCTTCTCCTCTTCTCCTCTACTGTCTCTCATAATGACACATGTCATCACATTTAGGGGCCCCTGGACCATCTGGCATGGTCTTATGTCCATTCTTACCTTAGTGGTGTCCTTCTGAGGCTCTGGGTGGACGTGAGCTTTGGGCACCCTGCTCACCCCAATGCTGTGTCCCCTCACGCCTGCCTTCCCTTCACCCTGGCCTCTCCCTGCTCAGTCTCCTGCAGAGCTTTACTCACCTTTGCACTGAGAATCAGGCAGCCCTAAGCCTATCCCTGACCCTGACCCTGACCCTGACCCTGAGAATTGGCCACACCAAGTGCTCTGCCCAGTGGGCCCAGGGAGGGCTGCGCGCTGTGTGGGGACCAGAGGGCGGGGCAGCAGGCAGAGGGCGGTGAGGACTGGGGCAGGCATTTGGAACCCAAGTGGACAGGCGGCCACTGGGAGAAGCGAAGTGTCCGTGGGAAGCTCCGCAGCATTCGAGGTCCCTGTGGCTGCAGAAGGTGGGGCTCGAGTTCATTTCTTTGGTCGCGTGAACGTTGTCGGATGCAAAATGGAGGCGGGGCGCAGTGCCTCACGCCTGTACTCCCAGCACTTTGGGAAGCTGAGGTGGGTGGATCGCCTGGAGTCAGGAGTTCCAGACCAGCCTGGCCAACATGGCAAAATCCCCGTCTCTACTAAAAACACAAAAATTAGCTGAGCGTGGCGGCGGGCACCTGTAGTCCCAGCTACTCAGGAGGCTGAGGCAGGAGAATTGCTTGAGCTTGGGACGCGGCGGTTGCAGTGAGCCGAGGTCGCACCACCCTACTCCAGCCTGGGTGACAGAGCAAGACTCCGTCTCAAAAAAAAAAAAAAAAAAATGGAGCTGCTCGTGTCAAACCCTGGCAAAGCTGGGAAGGCCATGAACGGGGGAGTCTCACCCACGATTTGGCTGATAACAGGAACTCTCTCCAGAAAAGTTCCCTCACCGCAGCTCACTCCAGGAGTCACACAGGACAGCCAGTGGCAGAGCAGCTAGCCGCTTCCACCCGGTCTCACGGCCCAGCGTGCGCCCGTCGGGGCAACGCACTCCAGGGTCACAAGTGGCACTCAGCAACCCCTGACGCTCGCCAGTCCGCTCCTGTAAGTTGCTGCTGGTGCCAATGAGCTTCCTTTTAAAACAACTTGCATCGCCTCCTCTTTCCTTCATAAAACCGGAAACCTCTCCTTTGTTCTCCGTCCACACCGGAGGGCACCCCCTGACCTGAATGTATGTCCCGATTGGCAACCCTACTTGTATATTACTCTCAAATAAAGCCGTTTTTCACTTCGATGTTTTGCTCTATGTTTTTATGTCGACAGTCACTAAAGGGGAAGGTGTTGCGGAGGCTGGAGAATGTGGACCCGCTGTGTTAGAACTGGCAGGCGGCGTTGCTGACTGTTGCTACGCTTCTGCTGGGCAGACAATGCAGTTTCCCGACAGTGCTGTGGAGCGGGGAACGGGGCACCTTCCCCGCTGAGTTGGGGAAAGTGTTACTTGAATGACGTGTTCGTTTTAGAGCTGGCCAGGAACCCTTGCCCCATCCTGGCCTCTCTGCCTCCCCGTGAGGTCCCGTGTGAGCGAGCTCACCAACGTTACTTATTGGTGAGAGTGAAGCAATAAACAGTCAGTTAAAAAAAATCTAGTTAATTGAATAGTTGAATTTTCATGGCCTGCAGAGGAAGTCCATGATGTGAATTACAGGCTTTCAAATCAAAGGATGCTGACAGGCACAGGCTGGCATCACATAAATAAAACCAAATCACTTACAATTGTGTTGTGTATGCTTTCCACTGTTTTAACCCTATTAGCCAAATCAAAGCTGCAGCTCCAAGTAAAAAGTGTGCTGTGAAATCACAAATTTATCCCATAAGGGAGCTGAACAACACTCAGTGCCCACCTGGAACCTGGCTTGCGGTCACCATGGGAGAGGCTCTGCTCTTCTCTCTCAACGCTACAACAACAGAGAGAAGAAATGGGCAATCAGAGGCTCAGGAGATATCAGGAAAATTCAGGAAAGTCGCCCTTGGGACCCACGGGCTCTGCCGTGCCAGCTGCACCTCCCCTGGCCTGTGGGGAGTGATGGTGATGGTGTTGTGTCTCTGTTTGCTGTGAACTTGTCCCATCCCAGGGATGGGGAAGGCCCTCCCCTCACTCCAAGGCCAGTGTCTCGAGATACCACCTTCCCATAAGAAGCTTTTGAAATACTCAGAGGCCATTGATGATCAACCTTGGTTTTTGTGGCTCGAGAAAGAAGTGACCAGAACCAGGTTTAGTTTTAGGGGTTTGGCAATGTTTTTGGCTTGGGTAAAACACTGATATGGATCAAGATTTTAGGGCCGGGTGCGGTGGCTCATGCCGGTAATCCCAGCACTCTAGGAGGATGAGGCAGGAGGATCCCTTGAGCCCCAGAGTTTGAGACCAGCCTGGGCAACATAGTGAGATCCCTGTCTCTACAAAAAAAATAAGTAAATTATCTGGGCGTGATGATGGGCTCCTGTGGTCCCAGCTACTTGGGAGGCCAAGGCAGGAGGATCCCTTAAGCCCAGAATTTCGAGACTAGCTTGGACAACATGGTGAGACCTGTTTCTGTGATAAATAAATAAATACATAAATAAGCCGGGCATGGTGGTGTGCACCTGTGGTCACAGCATATGGGAGGCTGAGGGAGGAGGATCGCTTGAGCCCTGGAGGTTGGGGCTGCAATGAGCTATGATTGTACCACTGCACCCCAGCCTGGGCAATACAGCGAGACTCTGTCTCAAAGAAGAAACAATTAAAAAATGTTTTTGTGAACCTGACTTCCCCGAGGCTGTGGGCGAGGCTTCCACTTGGCCGTAAGGGCTTCAGTTCAGTGGAACCAAAGAATGGTTCTGAATTAGCGACTGCAGGAGGGTTACGTTTACTCAACAGATATTTATTGATTGCCGTTTCAGATATGTATTTCTTGGTAACAAACCACTCTAAAGCTTGGTGACTTTAAAATGACTGTCTTATCATTTCTCACAATTCTGCAGGTTGATTGAGCTGGGCTCAGCCAGGGTGGCTCATTTCTGCTGCAGGTGGTACCAGCCAGGGTCACTCATGCAGGTGCAGTTTGGACTGGGGGCACCCTGGCTGGAGGGCTGGGCCTCTGTCTCCTCCGTGGCCCTTTATCTCAGGGCCTCTCTGTCCACTCAGTCTTTAGCGTGGGGCTTCTTAACTACGAGCTGTTGGTGCTGGGCCGGATTGTTCTCTGCTGTGGGCTGCCCTGTGCACTGAAGGGGGTTTAGTAGCACCCCTGGCCTCCACCTGCTGGACAGCAGTAGCATCCCCCCACCCAGTGTGACAACTAAATATGCCTCCAGATGTCCTCTGGGGACAAAATCTCTCCCTGTGGAGAACTGCAGGGCAGCCTGGACTTCTTTTGACCGAGCACTCCCAAGAGAGCAAGAGCAAAGCCTGCCAGGCCACTTAGAATTGGCCTGGAATCGGCATTGCATCCTTTCCTATTCAGTGGTCAAAGCCCACGGGGCTGGTTAATTTCATGGGGAAGAGGACAGAGGTTCCACCAAGGGTCAGGAGCACTGACTAAGTCACATCATGAAGGGATATGAGAGGAGCCGCTGAGCCACCTCTGAAAACAATATGGAGAATGCCCGCCATGGGACACATGTATCATATCAAGGGTCCTCATATCACAGGCTATCATATCATGGGCTATCATGTCATGTGCTCTCATATCACAGGCTATCATATCATGAGCTATCATGTCATGTGCTCTCATATCACAGGCTATCATATCATGGGCTATCATGTCATGTGCTGTCATATCACGGGCCATCATATGGGCTATCGTATCACAGGCTATCATGTCACATGATGTCACATCACGTGCATCATATCATGGGCAAACAGGAGACCAGGGCTTCACCCCCATTGATTTCACTCTGGGGGGTTGCTAGGAGATACATATAGAGTATTTAAACATATAAAGAGGTAATTTAAAAATTAATCCATGGGCCAGGTGCGGTGGCTGATGCCTGTCATCTCAACACTCTGGGAGGTAAGGTGGGAGGACCCCTTGAGCTCAGGAGTGTAAGACCAGCCTGGGCAAAACAGTGAGACCCCCATCTCCATAAAAAATAGAAAAATTAGCTGGGTGTGGTGGCGCCACCTGTAGTCCCAGCTACTCAGTGGGGAGGATTGCTTGAGCTGGGGAGGTCAAGGCTGCAGTGAGTCGAGATCACACTCCAGTCTGGAAAACAGAGTGAGACCCTGTCTTAAAAAAATAAGGCAATACATGCTTTTTGTACCTCCATGGTCATAGCAGCATTGTTCATAACAGCCAAGAGGTGGAAGGAAGCGACTCAGTGCCCACTGACAGATGAATGCATGAAACATGAAATATATATTCAATGGGACACTGTTTAGCCTTAACAAGGAAGGACATTCTGACACCTGCTACAACAGGGATGCACCTTAAGGAGTCTCTAGAGTAGTCAGATCTTTTTTTTTTTTTTTTGAGACAAGGTCTTGCCCAGTTGCCCAGGCTGGAGTGCAGTGGCGCAATCACAGCTCACTGCAGCCTCAACCTCCTGGGCTCAGGTGATCCTCCCACCTCAGCCACCTGAGTAGCTGGGACTACAGGCAGTTACCACCATGCCTGGATAATTTTTGTAGTTTTTGTAGGGACGGGGTCTGGCCATGTTGCCCAGGCTGGTCTGGGACTCCTGGACTCATGTGATCCTCTCGCCTTGGCCTCCCGAAGTGCAGGGATTACGAGCATGAGCCACCGCGCCCCAGCCAAGTAGTCAAATCGATAGAGATGGAAAGTAGAATGGTGTCTGCTGGGGCTGGGGAGTGAGACGTAGGGATGAGTGTTTGATGGGGACAGTTTCAGTGTGGGAAGGTGAAGAGAGCTGGAGATGATGGTGGTGATGGCCGCGCAACAGTGCGAAGGTGCTTAAGGCCACTGAACTGTACACTTAACAAATGGTTCAAATGGTAAATTCTATGTTATGTGTATTTTACCACAATTTTAAAAAGCAATACATGCTATAAAAGAAAGAATAGGCCGGGCGCAGTGGCTCACACCTGTAATCCCAGTACTTTGGGAGGCCAAGGCACGTGGATCACCTGAGGTCAGGAGTTTGAGATCAGCCTGGCAAACATGGTGAATCCCCATCGCTACTAAAAATAATAATAAAAAAATTAGCCGGGTGTGGTGGCAGGTGCCTGTGATCCCAGCTACTTGGGAGGCTGCGGCGCAAGAACTGCTTGAACCTGGGAGGCGGAGGTTGCAGTGAGCTGAGATCACACCACTACACTCCAGCCTGGGCAACAAGATTGAAACTCCATCTCAAAAAAAAAAAGAAAAAAGAAGAAAGAAAAGGACAGAAAGAATAGCCCTCATGGTAAGGACTGAGGCTACCCCTCTGGTGTGGTCAGCCACAGCCTCTCTGAGGGGTGCCGTGTGACTTTATGGACGAAGGCTAACAGAGCTGCGGGGTCAGAGGCAACTGCAGGGCAGGAAGCAGCAGTGCAGGGGCCGGGCAGGCGGTGCAGAGCTGGGGGCATCAGGCCTGTGCACACCCACCAGGGCTGGCCCAGGTAGGCGGGCGGTGCAGAGCCGGGGGCGTCAGGCCCGTGCACACCCACCAGGGCGAGCTCAGATTGGCCACAGGGGATGAGCCACCGTCAGCAAAGCAGGCAGCAACCACAAGTTTTTATTACAATCACACTTTCAAAAGACATTCTGTAATTTCAGTTTGGACTTCTCCTTTCACCCAAGAGTTGTTTTTAAACTTCCGGGTGGAAGGGCCCTTTACAATAGTACTGTTGATAAATTCTCATTATCTTTTCATCGTGACCAGAGTGCGCGGTTTCCAGTTTCTCGCTTATGGGGTTTCCTGGTGTCTTCTTTGTGACCTTCTGTGCCGATGCTGCCTGTGGGTGGCCGGGTCAGGTTCCCAACTTCGCTGCACAAAAGAATTTGAGATCGAGTCCACAGAAACAGCAGGCAAAGGAGGTTTTTTTCTTTCTTTTTTTTTTTTCTTTTTTTTGAGATGGAGCTTTGCTCTTGTTGCCCAGGCTGGAATGCAATGGCACGATCTTGGCTCACCACAACCTCCACCTCCTGGGTTCAAGTGATTCTCCTGCCTCAGCCTCCTGAGTAGCTGGGATTACAGGCATGCGCTACCACGTCTGGCTAATTTTGTATTTTTAATAGAGATGGGGTTTCTCCATGTTGGTCAGGCTGGTCTCGAACTCCCGACCTCAGGTCATCCGCCAGCCTCGGCCTCCCAAAGTGCTGGGATTACAGGCATGAGCCACCATGCCCAGCCAAGAGTTTATTGCAGAGCAAAAGTCCACCCTGAGAGACAGAGTGGCTGCTCAGTGAGAGAGCAGTCCCTGGTGTCTTGAGGGGGATATTCCCTTTGTGGGAGCTGTACATACAATCCTGGTGAGTCAGGTGTGCAAAGGTGGACCTGCGGCTGGTGAACGCATCACATGGATCACTAGCGTTTAACATCTCCATCCAGGGTGTGCTTTTTACTACAAAAACGAGAGAAGGGTTACTATGAGGTTGGTGCGAAAGTAATTGCTGTTTTGTCTATTACTTTCAATGGCAAAACCCACAGTTACTTTTGCATCAACCGAATACGAGGTACACCTTGAGCCTAGCTGTGCGTGCAGGACCCCTGAGGCAGGAATGTGTCGCTGATGGCTTCATGGGCTTCTGGTGCTGATTGGCTGGAGACTGGCGAAGCTACATCAGGAATAAGGGGCTTTTGTTCTCTTTCCTGCCATATCAGGTATCAGGAACTTGTAAGCATCTGGCCATCTGCTGGTGTCTGGCAGGGCTCTTGACCTTGCAAGAGAGCTGGGTGCTGAGCACAAGGGGTGAGGGACGGAGAGCCCAAGAGGCTTCACACAAGGGACAAGTCAATGTGGCCTCCTGACCTTACCTATCCCGCGTCAGCGACAGTCTGTGTTTTCTGTGCACGTGAGAAAGTGTGTTTTTGATGCATTTACCTTTTTTTTTTTTTTTTTTTGAGACTGAGTCTCTGTCTATCACCCAGGCTGGAGTGCAGTGGCCCGATCTCGGCTCACTGCAATCTCTGTCTCCCAGGTTCAAGCGATTCTCGTGCCTCAGCCTCCTGAGTAGCTGAGATTACAGGTGTGTGCCACCATGCCCGGCTAATTTTTGTATTTTTATTTTAGTAGAGATGGGGTTTCACCATGTTTGCCAGGCTGGTCTTGAACTCCTGACCTCAAGTGATCCACCCACCTCGGCCTCCCAAAGTGTTGGGATTACAGGCGTGAGCCACCGCGCCCGGCCTAGGATTGCATTTATCTTTGATGTCTGTATGATACACAGGTCTTCTAAGCCCTCAGCTACTCTTCGTCCGCTTGGCCTTACTGATAGAATGCTAACAGTGCTATGTTAAAGTCTCTCATGACTAGTGTTTTTGTATTTATTTCTCCTTCTGTCTCCGGAGTGTCTGCTTTATAAAAGTGGCTGCTTTATTATTTGGTGCATAGTCATAACTGTTATTTTTACATTATGAATTGCGGATTTTTGCATTAAAATATTTGTTGTCGCATTTAATGTTTTATTTTGTCATGACTCTGGCTTTCTTATTGTCCATTTGCCCACATTTTTAGTTTTGGCCTGTCAGAATCATTTTTTAGGTGTATATCTTTTATTTGGCATATAGTTGGTCTTGTTTTATGACCCAAACTAAAAATGTTTTTCTTTTTTTTTTTTTTTGAGACGGAGTCTCGCTCTGTTGCCCAGGCTGGAGTGCAGTGGCGCGATCTCGGCTCACTGCAAGCTCCGCCTCCCAGGTTCATGCCATTCTCCTGCCTCAGCCTCCTGAGTAGCTGGGACAACAGGCGCCCACCACCACGCCCGGCTAATTTTTTGTATTTTTAGTAAAGATGAGGTTTTACCATGTTAGCCAGGATGGTCTCAAACTCCTGACCTCGTGATCCGCCCGCCTCAGCCTCCCAAAGTTCTGGGATTACAGGCGTGAGCCACCGCACCTGGCCCTAAAAATGTTTTTAACAGGTGAGTGAAGCCCACTTATTTGTGTTAATGTGACTGACATTTTGGTCTGAACTCTACCATATTACCCACCGGAGCGGGACAGGGGCCCGTGTGGCTGGAGCCCAGACAGGCAGGACGTGTGGGAGGATGGAGACCAGACCGCACAGGGCTGTGCCTCCCTCAGGGTCACCAGGAGACAGAAATCACACAGCCAGCAGGCAGGGGAAGTTTACTGGGGTTATTAACAGGTAGTAGGGGCTGGATATTGGGAACAGCTGTGAAGGGGCACAGAGACCTCTAAGAGGCAGGAGGGGCGGGCCCAAAAGCAACCACAGCTTGAGGGCTGGGCGGAGCCAAATGTGTTTGGGGGAGGTCCCTCATCAAGGCTGAGCTTCAGACCCTACTGAAGCAGCAGCGCCTCAGCCAAGGCTGGCAGGAGAGCGCCCTTTGGGAGCTGCAGCAGGAGCCGTCCACACTGGCAAGGAACCGTCCCACTGGCAAGGAGCTGTCCACGCTGGCAAGGCCCTCAGAGGCCACTAGGAGCTGTTTGCTGGGCACCACTGAAACTGCGGGCTGGAAGCTCCTCTGGGTGTCCTGAGGGCCAGGCCAGTGAGTGCCGCAGGGGCAGGTAGGAGGCAAAGCAATAGTGCGGGATTGGGAGGTGGCTGCCCGAAGCGTCCTCCCCTCTGAGGAAGGGTCAGTGCAGGAGCAGCGCTGGAGGATACGGCTCTGCGGCTGCAGCTGGACTGGAGGCAGAGGGTGTTTGGAGCACAGAGCCACAGGGGTCCCCAGTGCTGGCTGCTTTGCAGGGCGGCTGGACTGTTTGGTGACTAATGGAAGCACTGGGGAAGCCATTGAAGGGTTTTAATCAGTGGCATGACCTGATCTGTATTTCAGAAAGGTCACTGCGGATCCAGTCTGAAGAGTGGAGTGGGCTGGAGACCCTGGGTGCTGATGCCAGGCGACGGTGGGGCTGGGGAGGGCTGCACAGGTGCGTTTTGTAAAATTATAATGGACACGAGATAGACGCTCGGCATCCTGATCCAGGAGAAGTCTCAACAAGGGACAGCTGGTGTGGCTGAGTGTGTCCGGAAAGAAGGGAGATGGGTTAAATAGTAAAAAATATTAAGACTAATGTTGGTAAATGCTCCTAATCATTTTCTAGATATTAATTATTCCAAATGTTAATTATCTTCGTGACCTTGGTGTGCAAGGACTGGCTGGTGTCCTGAAAAGCACTCTTGGAAGTGCCAGGGTTCCGCTGTGCTGTGCCCCACTGAGATTTCCTTAACAGTCCATCCTTGTCATTCCTGGAGTCTGTATGCGATTCTTCTACTTGCTAAAATGTAGCTGTAAGGCCAGGTGCGGTGGCTCACACCTGTAAATCCAGCACTTTGGGAGGCCGAGGTGGGCTGATCACGAGGTCAGGAGTTCAAGACCAGCCTGACCAATATGGTGAAACCCCGTGACTTTAAAAATACAAAATTAGCTGGGCGTGGTGGTTACTTGGGAGGCTGAAGCAGGAGAATCGCTCGAACATGGGAGGTGGAGGTTGCAGTGAGCCAAGACCACACGGCTGTACTCCAGCCTGGGCGACAGAGCTAGACTCCGTCTCAAAAAAAAAAAGAAGCTGTAATCCCCAAACACTTACTTGCACGGAGCGGCGACAATTCTGAGTCACCGGAGTGCGTTCTTGGCTGAGGTTGCGCAGGGCGGCCTTCTTGCTCCAGCTTGTGCTGCAATCAAGAGCCCTTTTCGTGGTCTATCTGGTGCCATTTTTTTTTTTTTTGCATTTTTGTGCTTTTTGTGGGTGACTTTGCTGTTTGCAATGTCCCCAAGCATTGTCCCGAGGTGCTGCCTCACGTCCTAGGCAAGGAATGCCTGGGTCAGAGAAGCTTTGTCCAGGCTTACGGTGCTTGGCACCGATTGCAATGTTAATGAAGCCACCACGTGCATTCAGTAAGGGATCTTTAAATAGAAACACAGAGAATGAGATGATATATTGATCGGCTGATGAAAACGGAGCCAGAGGCTTGCGGGACCCTAACCCTGTGTGTCTGCTAGCAGCAGGGGCTCAGCGTTCTCTAACTCAGCCTTCGCAGGGGCTCTGCAGACTGGAGCTAAGGTGGGTTGTGAGAAGTGGTGGCAGGTGCAGCCCAGGAGAGCCTTGCAAACAGCTGCCTTAGATGACCGGGTCTCGAGAGCTGTGTCAGACAGCGTGGGGTTGGTTTTCTGGGCCTCCATCGCCTGCTCTTTGGCTGGGGCATGAAGAAGCTAAACGGTGGTTTCTTCCTTGGCCAGGAAAGGAGGACACACTGTTAGGTTTTTCAGTTTCCTAACAGTTGTCCAAAGAGAATCAGAACTGCCAGTGGGAAGAGGAATATTTAAGGGGAATAATCCCGGCTCTGATTATCCACGCATAGGGAGGATAATCCAGTCCAGCCGGCTCAGGGGCTCAGGTGGGTTCCATCACGGTCTTTGTTCACCCATGAGAACGCGGCTGAGGGAGCAGGGGGCCTCATTCCGGGCACATGCGGCCCACACAGCTGTCCTTTTACATTGGTGGCACTCAGGCTGCGGGAGAACAGCGATGGGTTGAGGGGCCGTTGTCAGCACTGCTCCCTCAGGACTCAGGCTACTGCCCGGCCCCGACCTGGCCTCTGACCTCTACAGCATCAGATGCCAGGGATGAGAGTGTTCAGTAGCCCCTCCTGGGTGAGGAAGGATGCACACTGGCCCAGGGCTGGGGACGGGTGTCCGATTTCCATCGATTCCCGTATGAGTGGCCTTTACAGCCTCCCGGGCCTGTGTCTGGATCCTGGAAGAGGTCGCCCTCTGCTGTCCCTACTCAGGATAACAAGCCTCCTGCTCTTCATGATGAGCGTGCAGGGACACTGTTTCTGCCGCACTCAGGGCCCCAAGACCAAATTCTAAAATCTCCCCAAACCTTCAGCAGGGTGGGGCCAACCCTCATGAGACCAATGCATCTGTTTCTGCCTGGAGATCGCTGGGGCTGGTTCACACTTGGCACGTTCGGACTCGCAGATCAAGCTCTGAGGCAGGGAGGAGGCAGCAATGCCCCCTCCACATGCAGGCAGCGCCTGGCAGGTCCGGGGTCACCCCAGAGTGGAGGCCAGGCTCCTGGGCATTCCCCACCCTGGGATCCCTGCACTGTTCTCATCTGTCCTCCGAGAGGGGCAGACGGCAGCGACGGCTGGAGGCCGCACTCATGGGCACTGCAGACTTAGAGAAGCCAAAGTGCGTTTTATGCTGAGCCAAGAGTGAGTGGCAACCCGGAACACAGGTTCCATCGGCTGAGGAGGCAGGAGGGGTGGTTCCACAGCCTGAGAGGGGCAGTGCGCTCAGGGGGACCTCGCAGTCCTGCCTGGCCTCGGTGCCTTGTACACAGGTGGAGTGGACACGTGGCTGGCACACAGGGTGGAAAGCTGGCACCTACTGGAGCCTCAGGGTCTGCAGGGGCGACTGTTCTGTCCTGCCTCATCTGACAGGCACGGCAGTGACCAGGACACGTCAGTGAGACAATGCAGATTCCAGCCTCATAGGCCAGGCCTGCCTCCTACTACCCGTGTGGCCAAACTGCAGCCATCTTGGTCCACTTTTGAAAATGTTTCTTTCGGATCTTTCTGGCTGGTGCCTCTGCTGCGGAATAGCAGCTCCAGTGGGTTACCTGTCAGGAGCGCCCCTGGAGGTGCAGCTTCCCTCGTGCTCTGAATTACTCAGGTGAAGTCAGCAGGAATCCGATTCCCATCTCTGGGAAAAGCACCTCTGGCTTCTTTATCATCAGCCTTTACTTGGCCCCAGGTCTGGGAGAGGTGGCAAGAGTATTACCCTCTTGCTCTAGGGCCATCACGGAAGGAGCCACTTGCACCCCTGCAGGATCACGGGACCCTGTGGGTATCCCCCTGCCTGCAGGAGCCCCCCATTTCCACGGTTCCTGTTGGATCCCCCACTGCAGCTCTGCCTTCGAGCAGGCACCCGGCACAGCCCTGTGGTGCTGTGTCTCGGCCTGCTGCTGCCACAGGACTCGCCGGTGAGGAGCCACGGGGCAGCCCTCCTGCTGGCCACATTTGCAGGAAGTCCCGCCATGGGGTCCAGTCATGACCAGTCTAATGTCCCTTCTGGAGCCTGTGCCGCCCACTTTAGTGCTTGGGCATGGGGTCCTGGGACCACTGGCTCAGGCAGAAGAAGAGAAACCTTTGGGAGGTGGGGAAGGTACAGAGGGTCCAATTGCACCCCCCACACGCCCTCCTCCTTCCCCCAGCCCTGAAGCCTGTGAGCGGCCTGCCTGCCTTCCCCTCAGGCTCAGTCTGAAGACACCCCAGTTAAGCGACTCCACCAACTGGTCACGTTTCTCACACCTGCCTGAATAACCTGTCTTCCAGTGGCCCATTGCAATTTTCAGCATGGCCACAGCTGGACGGGACGAGCAGTGTGGTGCACACGTATGCTTGCCGTGTTTCCTGGACCGTCTCAGTGTCCTGGTGCCAGCAAGAGTGGGTACCTGGATCAGAAGAAGTAGGTCCAAGTCGGCTGAAATTGACAGAGGACTCACCATTCTAAACACCTCATGCTGTTCCCAAGGTTGCTTCTGTTACAAATAAGCCAAGTCCAGAATAGAGTGTCGTGAGAGCGTGAGATACAGCTTAGCTCCTTCCTGGAATCTCTGGAGTGACAAGAGTCTCTTTTGTAGTGAGTGTGATGAAGTTTGGGTTGATCATCAATAGCC
Source organism: Homo sapiens (assembly GCF_000001405.40). Taxonomy (NCBI): domain Eukaryota; kingdom Metazoa; phylum Chordata; class Mammalia; order Primates; family Hominidae; genus Homo; species Homo sapiens. The sequence continues at coordinate 124,876 of NT_187573.1, read as the reverse complement.
AACGATGCAATCAATCATGTATATGTAATGAAGCTTCCATAAAAACCCAAAAGGAGCTTTCAACAGTTGGACGCACGCAGGTGCCTGGAGGACGGCGCCCAGGAGGGCACAGGAGCTCTGCCATTCTCCCCTGTGCCTTGCAAAACCCAAGGAACTTCCCATCTCCAATGCGCGGATGTTGGGTGGAGGCCTGGGGCTGTCTGGAAGCTGCACATGTACGTGCCTGTCTCCTCCACCCCCCGTGCCTCCGCACCTTCGTCACAGCCTGTGTCATAAATGGGTAAACGCAGGGCGGCGTGTCCCTGAGTCCTGTGAACCACTCCAGCAATTCATCAAACCGGAGGAGGGGGTTGTGGGAACCCTGATTCATGGCAGTTCCGTCAGAAGCCACACCCGGGGCTTGCAACTGGCATCAGAAGTGGGGCCCCTTGCACGGGACTGAGCCCTCGATCTGTGGGATCTGACGCTACCTCCAGGCGGATGCGGTGGGAAATGACTTAAACCGTAGGATGCTCAGACAGTGTCCTGCAGCACTGCTTGGTGTGCAGGAAACAAGGCCCTGCCCACATCTGGTGCAAGAGTGCCTGTGGCTGTGTTGGGATGGGAAGAGCTCCTTGGTGTGTCCTGTATTGCTTGGTGTGTCCTGAGTGCTCCCTTGGTTCCGGGCCTCCTGATAGGCCATAGGCACCCAGGGTCCCCCTTGCCTGCTGTGGCCAGGCCTTGTCCTTCGGGGGTGCCACCCAAAGCTATTTGCAAATGCTTTCTGGTCAGCGGTGGATGTGGTTTCTTCTCATGCTAGTTGTTGCGCTGGGCACAAGGGGACCCCATGCTCCCTCCTGCTGGCTCCTTCCCTAACCTGCTGGGCGCATTCTGGGATCTGACCAAGGCGCTACCATTCAACCCCTTCTGAGCTGGCAACAGGAGTTTTTGGCAGGAATTCCCATTCCTGAGGGCACCCTGGGGATTTTCCAATTGTCCAGTTCTCTGGGGTGCATTTGCCTGGCATCCTGCGGGGCCGTTGTCCAGCCCGAGTTGGCAAATCCCTAAACGCCCCCAGAGCAGGGGCCTGACTCCTTTTTCACTCCTTTTCAGCTCCCGCATTAGGGAGGTTGCCTGTCCTGCCTCCACCTGTGTGGCGTGGGGAAGCTGATTTACAAACAGCAGAAGGGCCCCCGGCATGGGAAGAGTCCGGGCCAGGCAGCCTGCTCTGCCGGCTGGGGGACCGCCTGATGCAGGGGCCAGGCCAGGAGGTCCGCGGGGGCTGCTTTACAGCCCTCTGGGCAGCAAAGCAAGCTGGTCTCTGTGCAGCCCACTCCCTGCCATTCCCCACCATGCCCCTCCTATGTCCCTCCCATGCCCTGCCATTCCCCGCCATGCCCCTCCCATTCCCCCGCCATTTGCCGCCATTCCTCACCATTCCCCTCTCGTTCCCTGCCATTCCCCGCCATGCCCCTCCTATGTCCCTCCCATGCCCCTCCTATGTCCCTCCCATGCCCCGCCATTCCCCGCCATGCCTCTCCCATTCCCTCCCATTCCCTTCCATGCCCCTCCCATTCCCCCGCCATTTTTCGCCATTCCCCACCATTCCCCTCTCATTCCCCGCCATTCTCTGCCATGCCCTACCATGCCCCGCCATGCCCCTCCTATGTCCCTCCTATGTCCCTCCCATGCCCCTCCCATGCCCCGCCATTCCCCGCCATTCCCCACCATACCCCTCACATGCCCTGCCATTCCCCGCCCAGACCCTTGGTAACCTGGTCCCTGTCACCCATGCCCCGCTGGGCCCCTCACTGTTGCCGCTGGACATTAAACCCGCCAAGGGGCTTTCATGGGTTGCCCCTCTTTCTCCAGTGCTTCTTCACGCCACCTGGGACGTGGCCAACTTTTCTGGTGTCGGGATCATCTAACGCTCTTCCATGCACAAGAGTTCCAATGACCCACCCACCCAAGCTTCCTTCCCCCATCCCCTACCACTCCTCCAATACCCGTGGGTGCTGCCGGGAAGGGGCGTTGCAGATGTGCCGTGTGTCCCAGGTCAGCCGACCTTAGGGTCCGTGGATGCAGGTGGGCCTGGTCGAATCACGCCAGCCCTTTAAAAGCAGAAGAAGAGTCAGAGGCCAGGGAAGAGTGCTGTGGGGCCGTGCGAGATGGCAGCCTGAACGGTGGAGACCAGGTCCTGCTGACCGCCAGCAAGGAGACGGAGAATGCAGCTCTACAGCCGGGAAAAGAGTCTGCCATCCATCCGAACAGCCCTGGGCCTCCACCCAGGAGCCCAGCTGTCACACCTCAACTGCAGTCTGTGAGACCCCGCCCAGCCGAGCCCTCGCACTCCTACCCCTCTGGAGCTGCCAGGCAGTCAACAGGCACTGACCCACACTGTGGGGTTGTGGTGGCTCGTAGTGCAGCGAGGGCCCCAGCACGGGCATCTTCCCAGCACGGCTGCCAGCTCACGGTGGTCTCCCAGGCAACATGAAAGAAATGCATCAGGTAGCCCCTGGGCCCCAAACGTGATTTGCATTTCTGCCAAAAGCCAATCTTTTCTGACCAAGACCTGGGCCCTCCCAGTAGCACCTGAGTGGCCCCGTGGGCTGCCTGGGCCATGTCCCAGCTTGTTTCTGGGCAGGGCCCTTTCACATCGAGGTCTTTCCCCCAGTGACACTGTGACTAGAATCACAGGATTTCTGGATGAGGAATGTAATTTTGCAAAAACCTATACAGTTTCAGTCTTAGGGGCTTCTGTTTAGTGGCAACATTGGTGTCAATGGCATTAAATTAGGCGTCCCCTTGTTCACCGTAAAGCCAGCCTAGGGTCACCTGCACTTGTAACTTCCCAACAGCTTTGGAAGCAAGATGCCATTTGTGGGTTGGTGGGGGGCAGTCACTCCTCTCAGGGTAAAACCCCCACCTTTGCCACCTGCAGCAAGTGACGTATGGACCCACCTGGAAGCATTTGATCACAAGAGCTTGCAGCGTCTTGGGGACTGGTTCTTGGCCCTGACCATCACTTCCATGCAGTGGTATCTAGAATCAGTGGTGTGCCCGCCCCTCGCACTGATAATTTAGGAAACTGTGCCCATCCTGAGCCATCGGGCTTTGCCTGCCGCTCTCCCCAAATGTCCTGGCTCTTCTCAGAGGACCCTCGGGTTTCCGCAGCCGCCTGCCATGCCCTTCCACCCGCAGCATGGGTTTGCAGCCAGTCAGGTTTCTCAGCTGAGTTACTTTTTGGATGAATGTCACATCTGTTTAATTGGCCACTGGAGAGAGGAGACTGCACTGACCCGAGGACCGGGTCTGGTTTCTTTCTTGTGCCCCAGCTGCTTCTTCCAGTGGCCTTGTTTCTGTCTGGGTGTCAGTGGCACCTGCCATGGAAGAGCTGTTTCTCTCGCCTCCCTTGTGCCGGTCTTTGGCCAGCTCCCCGCCCCAGGTCGGCTTCCTCTCCGTCCCCTCGGTAAGGTGTGCTCCCTGTGGCCAGCCCCAAGGCTGTCAGCGTTTTGTATCAGGGACAGGTTGACAGCCACCTGGAGCCTCGTCCTCAGCAAGCTTCTCCCGCGCCCCCTTATCTTGCCTCAGAGAACCTCAGCTTAGATAATAAACAGCCATGCTGCTCGTGGTGCCCACCGGAGACAGCACGCAGAGCGGGATGGTCTCGTTTGCCTGGGAGCCAGGGGAAGCCAGGGGACCACTGGGACTGCCCACTCGCCGACCCCCACCCCCGTCCCTGACACATGGAGGCACGCTGCATCAAGGTTTAGGGTAGGAAGCTCCCCGTGGTACAGGAGGGGCAGCTCTTACCCAAAGGGGGCTCTTTCCGTTATGAAACTTTTTCCCTTTAAACTCTAGAAATTGCCAGAGGCACTGACATTTTCCAGTGGGCCGTGTGCCATAAGCCCAGATGTGTTTAATCCTGAACAGAAGGCTCTTCTGTGCTCACAGTCGACACCTCCAGGAGCTCTCATTAGCGTGTTTACAAGGACATTCTTTTCTTTTGTCTGATTTCTTTCTCCAAGAGCATCCCCAGGGGAGGATGGATGGGTTGCAAATGGTAACACTTTCCATGTGTGTACACGTGTGTGCATGTGTGAGGGTGTGTGTATACATATGTGAGGGTGTGTGGTGTGTGTGTACATTTATCAGGGTGTGTGTGAGGGTGTATGTACATGTGTGAGGGTGTGTATGTGTGTACATGAGTGTGTGGGCATGTGTATGCATGTGTGCCGATGTGTGTGTGTACATGTTTGAGGGTGTGTCCTCGTGCATATATGAGGGCATGCGTGTGCATGTACATTTGTGAGGGTGTGCATGTGTATGAGGATGTGTGTACATGTTTGAGGGTGTGTACATGTGTGAGGGCTGTGTACATGTGAGGGTGCGTGTGTATACATGTGTGAGGATGTGTGTACATTTGAGGGTGTGTGTGTACATGTGAGGGCATGTGTATGTGTGCATGTACATATGTGAGGGTGTGTGTACGTGTGGGTATGCATATGTATACAGTGTGAGGGTCTGTGTGTACATGTGAAGGTGTGTGCACATGTATGTGAATGTACGTGTGGGTGTGTGCATACATGTGTGAGGGGTGTGTACCTGTATGTGTACGTGGGGGGGTGGGGGGTACATGTGGGAGTGCATGTGTGCACGTGTGAGGGTGTGTACATGTGTGAGGGTGTGTGTGTGAGGATGCATGTGTACGTGTGACGTGTTACATGTGAGGGTGTGTTACATGTGTGGGTGCATGTACATGTGTGAGGCTGTACATGTGAGGGTGCATGTGTGTACGTGTGAGGGTGTGTACATGTGTGAGGGTGTGTGTACATGTGTGTGAGGGTGTGTACATATGTGGGTGTGTGTACGTGTGTGAGTGTGTGTGTGGGGGTGTGTGTACGAGTGTGCATGTGTACATGTTTGATGGTGTGTGCATGTACATGTGAGGGCATGTGTGTGCGTGTATGTGTGCATGTTTGAGGGGGTGTGCGTACGTGTGAGGGTGTGCATATGTATACATGTGCGAGGGTGTGTGTACATGTGTGAGGATGTGTGTACGTTTGAGTGTGTAAATGTGAGGGTGTGTGTACGTGTGAGGGTTTGTGTGCGTACATGTGTGAGGATGTATTAGGGTGTGCCTGTACATGCGAGGGCATGCATGTGTGCATGTGTGTGCATGTACATGTGTGAGGGTGTGTACGTTTGAGGGGGTGTGCGTACGTATACATGTGTGAGGGTGTGTACATGTGTGAGGGTGTGTGTACATGTGTGAGGGTGTGTGTACATGTGTGAGGATCTGTACGTTTGAGGGTGCATGTGTGTACATGTGAGGGTGTGTGTACATGTGTGAAGATGTATATGTGTTCAAGGGTGTGTGTGCGCACGTGTACACACGAGGGCATGCATGTGTGCGTGTGCATGTACATGTGAGGATGCATACATGTTTGGGGGTGTGTGCACGTGTGAGGGTGTGCATGTGTACACGTGTAAGGGTGAGTGTGTATACATGTGAGTGTACATGGTGTATTTGTACGTGTGTGTACATATGTGAGGGTTGTGTACATGTGAGGGTGTGTGCACATGTATGTGGGTGTGTGCATGGGTGTGTACGTTTATGGGTGCACGTGTACATGTGTGAGGTTGTGTGTACATGTGTGAAGGTATGTGTGTACGTGTGAGGGTGCATGTGTATGTGTGAGTGTGTACATGTGTGGGTGTATGTGTGTTTACATGTGTCATGGTGTATGTGTGTGGGGGTTTGTGTACATGTGAGGGTGTGTGCGTACATGTGAGGATGTGTACATGTGTGAGGTGTGTACATGTGAGTGTATACATGTGTGAAGGTGTACGTTTAAGGGTATACATGTGTGGGGGTGTGTACATGTGTGTGAGGGTGCGTGTGTGTATGAGTGTACGTGTGAGGGTGTGTGCACACGTGTGTACATGTGTGAGGGTGTGTGCTACGTGTGGGGGTGTGTATACATGTGTGGGGGTGTGTATACATGTGTGGGGTGCATACATTTGAGGGTGCATGTATGCACGTGTGAGGGTGTGTGTACATGTGTGGAGGTATGTGTATGTGTGAGGGTGTGTGTACATGTGTGGGTGTATGTGTAATGTGTGGGTACATGTGTGGTGTGTACGTGTGGATGTGCATACATGCGTGGGTGTGTGCATGTGTGAGCGTGTTACATGTAAGGGCATGTTACATGTGTGAGGGTGTGTGTATATATGTGATGTGTGCACATGTGTGAGGGTGTTACGTGTGTGAGGGTGTGTGCACGTGCGTGGGGGTGTGCACGTGTGTGGGGGTGTTCATGTGTGAGGGTGTGTGTTACGTGTGTGAGGGTGTGTTACGTGTGTGAGGGTGTGTTACGTGTGAGGGTGTGTATGTGTGGGTGTGTGCACGTGTGGGGTGTGTGAAGGTGTGTTACATGTGTGAAGGTGTGTATACATATATGTGGGTGTGTGGGGTGTATACGTGTATGGGTGTATACACGTGTGAGGGTGTGTGTACACGTGTGAGGGCGTGCATGTGTACCTGTGTGAGGGTGCATTTGCGTGTTTGTGCACATGTATACGCTCACATACCATATTGTGTTTGTTGATATGGGCCATGGTCAGAAAAGCTGAATGGCCGCTGGCTGAAAGGGCTGAGCTCAGTCTGTTTTCCCAGAGTTACGTCTGGCTGAACCCCGGTCATCAGCAAGGTGCGTGCCGTGACCTCACTACCGTCAGCTGCAATAGAATCGTGTGAGAAAACGCCATGGAGCTCCTTTCACTGAGCTGCACTAGGGCGTGGCGTCCAGAGGCCTATCCGAGGACAGTCACAGGAGCCCATCTCTCTGTGGACCGCGTCTCGACATCCAGGGCATGTGCTCTGCTGGGCTCATGGGCAGGAGCAGGGGTTTCCTCTCGGCTCGGCTGCTGGGAGCTCAGATTCCCGTCCCGCTCCCGCCCCGTAACCTCCACTCCGCCCTCACGGGGCTGCGGGACTCAGCCTTGAGTCGGCTCCTTCCCCACTCTTCTCCCGGTCACACCTTTATTTCTTTCCCTCGACCTTTTCCTGGACTCTTGGAGCGTTTGTTGATTGGGCTCCGTGAGCCTTGATTCTATGGCTATAGAATGGGGTCAGTGCCTGGCACCCTGGCTCTCCGGTTTGCTGACTTGTGCACAGGACCGCGCTTACCCTCAGTTCTGACTGCGGACAGAGCTGTCTGGTCCAGACTCCTTTCAGCTGTGCGATGACACAGCCAGGAAGATAGAAGCAGCCGGGTCTCGGGGTGTGCAAGGCATCCTGGGCGGATGCAAGGCGGGGTACAGCTGCCTGAGCGCGGCAGCCATGCCCCAGGCCCTGTGCCAGGTTGCTGGGCTCTGGGACTGTCGGGTGGCTCCACTTGGCTCTTGAACACAACTTAGTGTTTCAACTTCACATCTGGCAAAAGGGAGAGGATCCAGGGGTTCCAGGGGTGCCTCTCAGGCGGGTTTTCTCCCCCTCCCCACCCTCAGGCGGTTTTTCTCCCCCTCCCCACCCATCTGCCACATTAATCATCTCACACCAAGCACAGGCAGGTGCTTGCTGCAGAAGCTTGAGTTGCGCGTTCAACACTTTCATCTCATTCTAATGGCCCAGATTCCTCCGAAATGCCACGTTTATCACATGACCACACTGTAATCGCCACCCCCAGTCAAACAGTAAGAAAAGCAGGTAAGACAGGCGCGATGGCTTATGTCTGTAATCCCAGCACTTTGGGAGGCTGAGGCGGGCGGATCACGAGGTCAGGAGATCAAGACCATCCTGGCTAACATGGTGAAACCCCGTCTGTACTAAAAATACAAAAATTAGCCCAGTGTGGTGGCACATGCCTATATTCCCAGCTACTCAGGAGGCTGAGGCAGGAGAATCACTTGAACCCGGGAGGTGGGGGTTGCAGTGAGCTGAGATAGTACCACTGCACTCCAGCCTGGGCGACAGAACAAGACCAAAAAAAAAAAAAAAAAAAAAAAACAACAGATAAGTAACCATGCATTTGTACTAGTAAATTATAAATATACTTCTGCGGTACTATGGATTAAAATGTAATCCCAGTGAGTTAGGCACTGCGTGCTGTATCCTCCCAGTTCCCCATGTTGAAATCCTGATGTGGTGATGTTCGGAGCTGGGTCTTTGGGAGGTGATGAGGTCATGAGGGTGTGAAACTCTCATTGGTGAGACTGGCGCCTTATTAGAAGAGGCTTGAGAGATTTGCTTCCTCTTTCTGTTCTCTGCCAAGTGAGGCTACAAGAAGGTGGCCGTTTGCAAACCAGGAAGGGGACCCTCACCAGACACGGGATCTGCCTGCACCGTGATCTTGAACTTCCAGTCCTAAGAACTGTGAAAAATAAATGTCTGTTGTTTAAGCCGCCCAGTCCACGGTATTTTTTGTCATAGCAGCCTGAGCTGCCTAAGGATCGGTGGAAATGTCACACTCTCTCTAACTGAACAACAATGAAAACACGCACCAAAAACACTGGGAGGCCCGTGGATGGTGATTTTTATGCCTAATTACTTACAGTAGAAAAGAAGAGAAGCTGAAAGTGTCCAACTTTAATTTAGAACCTGAGTAAGAGATTAAATGCAAGGAAAGAGATAATAAAGTAAAAGTAGAAATGGAGGCAAGGCACTCACAGGTAACGTAACAGAAGAACGTATCAGGACATAAAGCATACATGTTATGGCAAGCAAGCTGAAAAATTCGGTGAAGTGGAAAATTCATAGAAAAGAGTAACTTGAAAAATGGCCTTAATTAGATAACATAAATAGCTTTAAGACTATGAGATATAATGAGGCAGTTGTTAAAGGTCTCCCTAAAAGGAAGATATCAGGCCCAGGTGATTGTACAGTTGGGTTTTAGTAGCCTTTCCTATCATTCTGACCTCACACATTTTCCCAAGAATAGGAAGAGGGGATGCCCCAGCTCCTCCAAGAGGCCAGTACAACAGTGATATGAACAGCAGGCAAAGTCATCACAGGAAACATGACTGGCCCGTTCACTCAAAAATATGTTTAACAGCAAGATTACCAACAAAATTTTAGCAAACCAAATAAATAATGTATGAAAAGATAACACAAGATGACCAAAGCAGGCTTAACCCAGGAATGCAAGGAAGGCTTGAAATCTATAAATGAATATCACCTTGGAAGCAGATTAAATGAGAAAAGTCACCAGTTCAATTCAATGAAACCCCTTTTGAAAAAAAACTTAACACACATTTATGAAAAACTTCGTATACATTAGGACTGAAAGGACTTTACCTTAACTTAATAAAGGCTAGCTGTGTAAAACTTACCACCAATTATAGACAGGGACAGAGTGGAAGCATTCCCTCTTGCAATAGGAATGACACATTAGATTTTTTTTTTTTTAAGCTGAGGGCATGTGCAGCCTTTCTTTTTTTATTTTATTTTATTTTATTATACTTTAAGTTTTAGGGTACATGTGTACAATGTGCAGATTTGTTACATATGTATACATGTGCCATGTTGGTGTGCTGCACCCATTAACTCGTCATTTAGCATTAGGTATATTTCCTAATGCTATCCCTCCCCCATCCCCCCACCCCAACACATTAGATATTTATGTTTACCATTTCCATTCAACAATAGAATAAGACAGTATAATAAAGTAAGAAAAATAAAGGCACGAAGATTGGAAAGGAGGAAATTAAAATGTTATTATTTGTCGGTTATAGAAGGGGTTGGCAAACTGCCCGCTGTAGGCAAAATCTGACCCATCATGGGTGAAATCTGACTACACCTATTTGTTTCCATCTTGTCTCTGGCTGCTTTCATGTTACCAGGACAGAGCTGAGTTCTTGCAACAGCAAGCATATGGCTGGGAAAGTGGAAAACTTTTGCAGAAAAAGTTTGCTAACTCCTGGATTAGGGGATCATCTATATTGAAAAGATAAAACTACAGAGACATTATTAGAAGTAACAGTAGAGAAGAGTAAATTATAGAAGTCATTTGTATTTCACATACTAGAGAAAAATCATTAAAATATATAATTTTTAGGCTGGGTGTGGTGGCTCACATCTGTAATCCCAGCACTTTGGGAGGCCGAGGTGGGTGGATCACTTAAGGTCAGGAGTTTGAGACCAGCCTGGCCAACATGGTGAAACCCCATCTCTACTAAAAAATACAAAAATTAGCCAGGCGTGGTGGCGGGCGTCTGTAATCTCAGCTACTCTGGAGGCTGAGCCAGGAGAATCGCTTGAACCTGAGAAGCAGAGGTTGCAGTGAGCCAAGATCACAGTATTGCACTCCAGCCTGGGCAACAGAGTGAGACTCCATCTTAAAAAAAAAAAAATATATGTATATATATATATACACACACACACACACACACACACACACATATAATTACATATTTTTAAATATATATACATTTTTAAAGGCTCTATTATTATTATTAATTTTTTTTTTTTTTGAGACGGAGTCTCGCTTTTTTGCCCAGGCCGGACTGCAGGGGCACGATCTCGGCTCACTGCAAGCTCCGCCTCCTGGGTTCACGCCATTCTCCTGCCTCAGCCTCCCGAGTAGCTGGGATTATAGGCACCTGCCACCACGCCCGGCTAATTTTTTGTATTTTTAGTAGAGACAGGGTTTCACCCTGTTAGCCAGGATGGTCTCGATCTCCTGATCTCGTGATCCACCCGCCTCGGCCTCCCAAACTGCTGGGATTACAGGCGTGAGCCACCGCGCCCGGCCTAAAGTATCCTTTATTATAACTAGAGAATATTTATTAGCTAGAAAAAAATAGAGATTGCAGCAGTTCTCTTTGTGATAAGAATGTACTGTGTGTGGTGTGAGTGGAGCCACGCTAGTTTTTTCTTGGTTTACAGGGTTTGCTTTTCTCTGTGATTTTACTCTTGCTCTTTCTTGAGTTCTTACGTTTTCTCATAAGCAGCTTTGAAAATCTTATTCTTCTGCTTCCAGTACTTAATTTGTTTAGACTTAGTAAAATTACTGATAGTAGGGTAATATCTACCTTTGTTTTTTTTTTTTGGTATTTCATCTGTTTTATGTTTCTTTTCTCATCTTTCATTTTTTAGATTAATCAAATATTTTTATTCCACTTTTTCTGTTACTCAGTCACATGGCTTTTACTTTTAACTAGTTGCCTTAGAAATTACAGCATAAAATTTGACTTATTGGAAGTATATGCAATTACTTTTTTCGTATTTCTAGTACTTCTAGAATCTTAGAACTTTGAGCTATATTTACTGGAACTTACATCTGATCATGGCTGAAAAGCTCCTATTATACCAACCTTCCCTTAGATAACAACTCTAAATTCCAGACAAAAGATTAACAACTACCTGAGGGTAGTCACTGGAGTGTGACAGAAGCCGTCCAGGCCTGGGGGATAGTCAACACCTGGGACAGGAGAACCCCCCGGGGTGGGGGGTGGGTTCCTGTTGTCATGGATTTTAGCCTGAGGATGGATTCCAGTCTGCACCACGTGGAGAGGCTAAAACTCAGGTAGAAAACCCACAGCCTGATTGACTTGAAGAACCAGACAACAGAGTTCAGGGCAACAGCAGCAGCTGGAAAGTGAGGGAGAAAATCCAAGACAGAGACAGAGAGGGAGAAGGAGAGCCAACATTCTATGCACACAATGTCCTCCTATTTCTGGCTAACCTCTTGGATCCTAGTACCCCCATATTTCTAAGAGATAGTTAAACTTTTAGAAGTTGTTTTTCCTGTTCTTCTCCTCCCTGGCTCCCTGTTTCCTACTTAGCCCTTTAGAAAGGCAAACATAACCAGATATTCCCTACAGAGCAAGTTCATCTACCTGCGTGTTCCAAGACGGAACTCTCACCTCCAGAGGTTGCCTTGAAACTGGAACTCACACCCACTAAGAGGGCATGTCGAAAACATGCCCACTTGGCCACTTTTGTAACCCACTCTGCCCAGGAAGGCTCTGACTCTAGATAACAACTGCCTGGTAGATACCAACTTCCCAGTAGCAGGGGTACCCCTGCCCTTGCTCATTTCCTCCCTACCTTATAAAAATGCCTACATTCGGCTCCAAAGGGGAAGCGGCACATTTAAAGGCAGGATGCTGTGTGCCCCTTCCCCTGAGCTAGCTTCAGCGTAAGCTTGCTTCCCTGGTACCAGAACTTGCTTTGGTTAATTGGACTCTGCATGCGGTGAGCAACGAACCTGCTTTTCACTTACTCTCTGCACAGTATTCAGCAAGGGTGGACTCCAAGTAGCCCAGCTAAGGGTGAACTGAACCAAGTAGAACTGAGCTGAAATTTCAGCTACCATCCACGCTTGGATGACAGAGTGTACAGGCTGAGTTCAGCCAAGTTGAAAAGCCTGATTAAAAAAGGAATGCCCAGCCGGGCGTGGTGGCTCACCCCTGTAATCCCAGCACTTTGGGAGGCTGAGGCAGGCGGATCTGAGGTTGAGAGTTCGATGACAGCCTGATCAACATGGAGAAACCCCGTCTCTACTAAAAATACCAAAAATTAGCCGGGCGTGGTGGCACATGCCTGTAATCTCAGCTACTCAGGAGGCTGAGGCAGGAGAATCGATTGAAGCCAGGAGGCGGAGGTTGCAGTGAGCTGAGATGGCTCCACTGCACTCCAGCCTGGGCAATAAGAGCAAAACTCTGTCTCAAAAAAAAAAAAAAAAAAAGAATGTCCTTCAGAGGAACATAATGAGTGCAGAGTTTCCATGCACATCACGGTCAATGTCCAGAAGCGATTTAAAATTACCTGGCCGGGCGCGGTGGCTCACACCTGTAATCCCAGCACTTTGGGATGCCGAGGCGGGTGGATCACCTGAGGTCAGGACTTCCAGACCTGCCTGGCCAACATGGTGAAACCCCGTCTCTATTAAAAACAACAACAACAAAACAAACAAACAAAAAAATTAGCCAGGCGTGGTGGCTTGCACCTGTAATCCCAGCTACCTGGGAGGCTGAAGCAGGAGAGTTACTTGAACCTGGGAGGTAGAGGTTGCAGTGAGCTGAGCTCATGCCACTGCACTCCAGCCTGGGCGACAGGGCGAGACTCTGTTTCAAAAAAATAAAATTTCTTGACACAGAAGAAACAGTAAACTATGACCCATACATGAGAGAAAAGATAATGAATGGAGACAATCTCTGAGATAACTCAGATATTGTAATGATCACATCGAGGCTTTAAGCAGAAATTATATCTATGTTCAAGGATGTAAAGGAAAATAAGCTTTTAATGAATGAAAAGATAGAAAATCTCAACAGAGAAATAGAAACTATAAGAAGAATCAAGTGGAAATTCTAGACCAAAAAGTTAAAATATTTGAGGTAAAAATTTGCCAGTTGGACTTAAAAGAAGATTGAGGGTGACAGAAGAAAGAGGAGCTTGAAGGTAAATTAATAGAAATTAACCAATTTGAAGAATACAGAGGAAAAGGAAAATATGTACAGAGCGTCAGAGTGTCGTGGCACAATATTAAAAGGCCTAAGATAAATGTAATAGGAGCTCCTGAAGAGGAGAGAAAAAATTGCGCAGAAAAAAATTATCTAAAGAAACAATTGCCAAAAAACCTCCGTATTTCATGAAAGGCATAAAATTACAGATTTAAGAAACTCAACAAACCCCATAGAGTATAAATACAAAGAACACTACATTTAGGCACACCATAGTCAAACTGCTGGCGGCCAAAGACACATTTTGAAAGCAGTTGGAGGAAAACACACATTCCCACGAAGTATTAGAACATCAACCCCAACATGAGCTGACTTCTCATCAGAAATGATGGGGGCCACCCGGGCGCGGTGGCTCACGCCTGTAATCCCAGCACTTTGGGAGGCTGAGGCTGGCAGATCACCTGAGGTCGGGAGTTTGAGACCAGCCTAACCAACATGGAGAAACCCTGTCTCTACCAAAAATACAAAATTAGCTGGGCGTGGTGGCGCATGCCTGTAATCCCAGCTACTCGGGAGGCTGAAGCAGGAGAATCGCTTGAACCCGGGAGGCAGAGGTTGCGGTGAGCTGAGATTGCGCCATTGCACTCCAGCCTGGGCAACAAGAGTGAAACTCTGTCTAAAAAAAAAAAGAAAAAAGAAAAAAAAGAAAGAAATGAATGGGGCCAGAAGACAGTGGAACAATGTCTCTAAAGTGCTGAAGGAAAAATAAGGATCTACCCAGTATTCTATATCCAGTGAAAATATTATTCAAGAAGGAAGGTGAAGTAAATACTATTGTTTGTTTGTTTGTTTGAGACGGAGTCTCGCTCTGTCACCCAGGCTGGAGTGCAGTGGTGAGATCTCGGCTCCCTGCAAGCTCCGCCTCCTAATGGTTCTAGCGATTCTCCTGCCTCAGCCTCCAGAGTAGCTGGGATTACAGGCACCCGCCACCACACTCGGCTAATTTTTGTATTTTTAGTAGAAACGAGGTTTCACCATGTTGGCCAGGCTGGTCTTGAACTTCTGACCTCAGGTGATCCACCTGCCTTGGCCTCCCAAAGTGCTGGGATTACAGGTGTGAGCCACTGAGCCCGGCAGTAAATACATTTTTAAATAAAATAAAACCACAAGAATTTATTATCAGCACATACGCGCTATGAGAAATGCTAAAGAAATCTATTCAGGCTGAATAAATGAGATCAGACCGCAACCTCGGTGTGATATTTGGATTTCCTAAGGCCGGATCCTGAACTTCTTTAACCCATTTCCTGTTTGCCCCAAGAATACTTGCCGGTGGCACTTGTGGCTGCAGCATTTACTTCGAGAAAACTTTGCCACGAAATATCTCACTTTTATAACTATTTTTGCATTGCTCTAGTAGATTGACTTTGGCAACAAAAGACATTATTCTATTTATACATTCTGTTTGCAGTAGTGGCATTTCCAGTTACAACATATAGTAATTAGCAACCACTGAAAATGTCAAATCTTAGAAAATGTAGCGTTTCTGTGACATGAGCACCGTTTTCGAACAGTTGTTGGCTGAAGATCATTTGATGAATCTGATTTTTCAGAAATAGATGATTCTGATGCTTCAGATGACTCTGATGTTCTGTTTAGAAATAACTCCAACAACAGTTTTTATATTTTATTTTCACATTGAAAAGCAGTCAGATTTGCTTCACCCTCAAAGAGCGTGTTTATGTAAAATTAAATGAGCGCTGGCACCTTCTTTTTTCTCAATGGGAACAGGGTTAGGTAGAAGGCATGGTGAGATCGTGAAGGAGGAGCCACGTCCCGCTCCTATTCTATCTCATATATGTTTACATGGGTCATGCGTATGTGACCGGTCACTACCAGATTGTATGAAAGAACTCTAATGGGCTTAAAGGAAATTTAAACACTTAAATATCTTATCAGGATAATAGAAGCTAGCTCAAATGCCTTTTAGTTCATGTGACTTTGGTAATCTTTGGTAAGTAAAACTAGTTTCAAAATTCTCTTTATAAAATCTAAAAGTCATGCTAAATTAAGACTAGGATTTTCTAGAAATAAGGGGTTACTAAGTTACAGTAATAGTTTATATATGTAATTAAAACTGCTAGATATAGGCAAAACTATTCTACATACAGAGTGTATGAAAAGTAAGATGTGGGTTTTTCTTTTTTCCTTTTCTTTTTTTTTTTTGAGACTGAGTCTCGTTCTCTCCCCCAGGCTGGAGTGCAATGGCACGATCTTGGCTCACTGCAACCTCTGTCTCCCGGGTTCAAGTGATTCTCCTGCCTCAGCCTCCTGAGTAGCTGGGATTACAGTCGCCCGCCACCACACCCGGCTAATTTTTATATTTTAGTAGAGATGGGTTTCACCACGTTGGCCAGGCTGGTCTCAAACTCTTGACCTTGAGTTATGTGCCCGTCTCGCCTCCCAAAGTGCTGGGATTGTAGGCGTGAGCCACTGCGCCCGGCCATAATGTAAGATGTGTTTTTAGCAAAGGTTATAAAAATCATAAAGATATGGTTTCTGCTTAAAGGAAAAGTACTCTTGTCTAGTTTGGAAGCTATTTACAGGTTGTTTTGGAATCAAGGAAAGATGACATGGATGAGAGTAAATGGATAGAAAGAGGAAGAATAAAGGGCTGGGCAACAAGAAGCCCTTGATTCCTTAGCGGCCACACGTCATCCCTGGTCTGGAGCTGCAGCTGTGCCATCCTCAGCTGCTAAAGGGGAAAGCTACTGGTAGAATTAGAGATGGCACAAACCCTTGGGGAGTTGGTTCAGTGGATGCATAAGAAGATGCAGACTAATAAGCAAAAAGCAAAACATTCAATCCCTTGGTTACTGCTATCTGCAGTAGCTAAAATGAAAGTGTAAGAGAGTGCTGGGTTGGGCCTGGACCATGCTCAGTTGTGGGTCTGTCTGAGCTCAGGCCATTAGCCTCAAAACTACCCACAAAGGGGAAATGATGCCAGGGATGAAAGAAAGCACCCTGAGACCTGTGGTTACCAAGATGGTAGTAAGGGCAAAATCAAGTAGCACTGAAGCCAGAGGACGTGATGTGGGGCAATTGCTTCGTTTTGTAGATTCGCTTCCTGAGGAACTTCTACCAAAATAAATTATGAGAATGACTAATTTGGGAACAGTGTTTTTGGTTTTAAATGTGTAACTGAGCAGCTTGGCTTCAAACCATGTTTTAAAACTTTGTTTTTTCTCCTTTCTTCCCAATCTCAAGATATAACTTTGAGTCAAGCTGCATACGGGTTTCCTTTCATCTTGAAACATAGCCTGGGAATGTGCTGTGGCCTCCCCTCCCCTTCTTTTTCTATTCCATGCTGTCACACCTTACACACACTTATTTACCTGGATGCTTGTTAAGCTCACACCATGCTCACTTCTCTGGTGATGTATTTCCTTAGAAGTTTCAGGGGCCGGATCCTGCTATGGACCAGACACTTCCAGCCACGATGGCCCTGGCCCCTTCACCAGATGGAACAATAATTCGAGATGAGCCATGGGACTGGTTCCTGCCACCCGACACCTCCTCATCACCTGCCTCTTCTGCATTCCAAACCCTCTCTTTAAAATCCCCTGCGTTCCCTCCACAAATGGAAGAGTGGAATTGCTTTGTGCTCATCCCTTTGCTGGTACGGATAATAAAGTCTCACTCTCTTTCTATCACACCTCATTATTATTTTGGCTTCTTTCTACAAGTGGTGAGCAGCCTCACCCTTCTGCTGGTCACAAGTGCAGCAGAATGGAAGAGCACGTGTGGGCTGATGTGAGACCCACAGCTCACTGCTGAACAATGGCAGATGAGTGTGTGTGATCCAGACGCACAGATTATTCCTGAGGGAACGGCCAGCCTGGTGGGCTGGATAAAAGGCACTGTAAGAGAAGGGGACCACCCAACTTTCCCCATAAACGCCAAGTGGAGCACCCCCGATGAAGCAGCTGATGTGCTTCGTAAGCAAGCCATGTGGGACTGACTTTATGATGACCGGGATATTCACGGCTGAGTATGCCCAGATCATGGTAAATGCTGTGGTTAAGGGGGCCCATTGGCCTGGGCACCTCATTGGGTCTCAACTTCCCCTCATGGGTCATCCAGATGCTTATAAAAACTTTAGGCTAATTAATAAAATTATTGGGAAAGGCAAAAGGGAGTCCAAGGACTCATCCTAGGAAGGGGAAAATTTTTAAACGATTAGTTTTAAATAGGTAAAAAATGGGCCAGGCCTGGTGGCTCACGCCTGTAATCTCAGCACTTTGAGGGGCAGAGGTGGGCAGACCACCTGAGATCAGGAGTTCGAGACTGGCCTGGCCAACATGGCGAAACCTCATCTCTACTAAAAATACAAAAATTAGCCAGGTGTGGTGGCGCGCACCTGTAATCCCAGCTACTCAGGAGACTGAGGGAGGAGAATTGCAGTGAGTCAAGACTGCCACTGCACTCCAGCCTGGGTGGCAGAGTAAGACTCCATCTCAAAAAAAAGGTAAAAAGTGGATGGGGTGAAACCAAGAGGAAAAAGGAAAGGAGAGAGTCATGGGGTGCATCCTAGCGGGGTGGAATCTGTACATGGTTGTTAAGCAATGGAATGAATAATGGGGGGTTATTCACAAAGGTCTTAATACAACACTATCGAAAGTTGGGTGAACAAAGGGAGCCCCCGCTGGTCCCTCAACAGTAAAGAGCTCCAAAACAGTTTTTGCCAGATTGGAGAAGGCACTCTAACTATAAAAATTGGAAGGCAAAAGTTACACTGAGCAAACTGACCAACAATTGCGGGGGCCAATGTTGAGGTGGGTTAATCAAGATAAGATTGACAGAAGGGCCAGGGTCCCTTGGATCAAGCCCCTGTGGGGCACCCACATCCTTTTTCACAAGAGAGGGTAAAATGGTCTGGAGGTGGGAAAAAGAAGTTCCTGGGAGCAGAACAGAAAGACGTCGAGTTATGAAAGTCGACTTGTGTGATAGAGTTATGAAAGCCGAGATGTTTAAACAGGCTTTATGTAAGGCATTACATATCCTTTACCTAAATGCTTTATGAAAATGGATATTGAAGCTGGTACAGTGGTTCACACCTGTAATCCTAGCACTTTGGGAGGCCGAGGTGGGCGGATCACTTGGGGTTAGGAGTTCAAGACCACCCTGACCAACATGATGAAACCCCATCTATACTAAAAATACAAAAATTAGCCGGGCATGGTGGCATGCACCTGTAGTCCCAGCTATTGGGGAGGCTGAGGCAGGAGAATTGCTTGAACCCAAGAGGCAGAGGCTGCAGTGAGCCGAGATTGTGCCATTGCACTCCAGCCTGGGCAATAGAGACTCAGGAAAAAAAAAAAAAAGGAAAATGGAAAATGGATATTGTACGTGGACTGGGGAAACCCCTACCTACTACTGCAAAAGTAAAGGCATGAAAAAATCAACGAAAAGAGTCAAACTGTAAAATATTGGAAGAGATTTATTCTGAGCCAAATATGAGAGACTGTGGCCCATGACACGGCCTCAGGAGACCGTGAGAACAAGTGCCCAAGGTGTTTGGGCCACAACTTGGTTTTATAAATTTTAGGGAGCCATGAGACACCAATCAATACAGGGAAGACATACATTTGTTCGATCAGGAAAGGTGGGACAACTTGAAACAGGGACTTCCAGGTCATAGGTAGATTCAAAGATTTACTGATTGGCAATTGGTTGAAGGAGTTACTATCTAAAGACCTGGAATCAAAAGAAGGAATGTCTGGGTTAATGAGGGATTGTGGTGACCAAGTTCCTATTACACAGAGAAAGCCTCCAGGTAGCTTCAGAGAGAACAGATTGTAAATGTTTCTTACCAGAGTTGATTCTCTCTTGAATCAGGGAAAAGTCCTGAAAAAGGAAAAGGATTCTCTTCAGAATGCAGCTTTTCCCCACAAGAGAAAGCTTTGCAAGGCTATTTCAAGACATGGCAAAGAAACACAATTTGCGGTAAAATACTTCAATTTCATTCAGTGAATCCTTCGCTTGGCTTCCTACCCTTGAGGCTTTTAATAAGTTGAGTCCAAAATTCCCTAAAAAAGTTCCAGCAAAGCCAACTTAAAAAGAGCCGACCAGCTTAGGCAACATGCTGAGACCCTGTCTCTACAAAACATAAAAAATGAGCTGGGTGTGGTGGGGTGTGCCAAGGGTCCCAGCTACTCGGGAGGCTGAGGCAGGAGGAGTGTTTGAGCCTGAGAGGCTGAGGCTGCAGTGAGCTCTGATTGCACCATTGTACTCCAGCATGGCTGACAGAGCAAGCCCCTGTCACAGGGAAAAAAAAAAAAAAAAAAAGCCTCTAGGGCTGGTAACTATTCTTGCCACGCTTCATGCAAATAGGCCAAGTATAATGAGACCGAAATTTATTTTGCAAATAAACTGGTCCTACTATGATTTATCCTTGGTAGAAATGGGGAAACTAGAGAGAGAAAAATTTAGATCCTAGCTCTGACCGTTGTTTTTGAGTTATTATTTGCTTACAATTTGGGCTAATCCTGAATCATTCACTGGCTACAAGTCTCTAAAGAAAAACCGGGTTTTAGTTTCCTTCACGATGCTTTTAGTCGGCTTCTTAATGAAATAGGTTCTTTTTTGTTACTGTTCTGAAATACAAATTCCCTTTTGATTGTCATCCTTGTGTGCAAATTATTAATGTTATGTATCTCTTGTTGTTTTATTTTCTCTGAGAAAACAGAAGTCGTGGTATCCTGAAGACTAGAGATGATTCAACAGCCGGTGACCCTCCCTCACTGGGACTCTCACCGGGCCCGACCTGTTTTCCGACGCCAAGGCACCGCTGCTGAAGCCAGACAACCCCAAGCACCCTCCCTAAGGCTCAGGGACCATCGCGGAAGAGGAGGGCAGGTGAGACGGTCAGAGCTGGATTAGTGGGGCGGCGCGGGCGGATCATGGAGGCCGAAGCCGCTCCATCTTGGACGCTAGTTTGTCGTGTTGGCTTCTGATTAACCTCAGTTCCGGGAATGCCTCTGAGAGTTCCCGTTCATCTGTTGTTCCTTGTGTAAGAGCACATCCTTATCACAAGTCCTGGCCTTAGGGAAATTCCTGCCCACCCCCTCTGAGGCATGTCCCCTGCACTATGGCAATAGAAGCCCTGGGCCTGGGTGGTGACGGCGCAGGGAGCCGCCATCTTGACTCACCGTAGCCTGAGACTGACATGGCTTCTGTTTCTAAGTCCCTATTAAATGTTTCTTTTTAAGAACTGAATTTGTGGGCCAGGCGCGGTGGCTCACGCCTGTAATCTCAGCACTTTGGGAGACCGAGGTGGGCATTTCACGAGGTCAGGAGATCGAGACCATCCTGGCTAACCCGGTGAAACCCCGTCTCTACTAAAAATACAAAAAATTAGCCGGGCGTGGTGGCGGGCGCCTGTAGTTCCAGCTACTCGGGAGGCTGAGGCAGGAGAATGGCGTGAACCCGGGAAGCGGAGCTTGCAGTGAGCCGAGATGGCGCCACTGCACTCCAGCCTGGGCGACAGAGCAAGACTCTGCCTCAAAAGAAAAAAAAAAAAAAAGATGTGAATTTGTCAGCCTCTTTCTTTGGCCTGTCAGCTTCCTTGGACTTTGAGGTAGATGTGTTTGGACTTGTTCACTGTGAGACAGTGGCTGAATAGTGTTCTTCTGTATACACTTAAACATTCTGTTTATCCGTCATTTGTTGAGGGATATTTGGGTTGCTTCTACCATTTGGTACTTGTGAATATTGCTGCATATATTAGGCTGTTCTTTTGTTGCTGTAAAGAAATACCTGAGACTGGTATTTGTGTTTGTCTCGCAGTTCTGCAGGCTGGACAGTAAGCATGGCACTGGCATTGGCTTGCGGAGGCTTCTCAGGAGGCCTCGGAGAGCTTTTATTGATGGTGGAAGTGAGAGATGGCGCGTCCCATGATGGGAGCAGGAGGAACATAGTGGGGGGAGACGCCGCACACTTTTAAACAGCCACATCTCCCGGGAGCTCACTGTGAGAAAGCACTCATTAGCAAGGGGTGGCAGCAAGGCATCCGTGAAGGGTCCACCCCCATGATCCAGTCACTTCCCACCCCCTCCAACACTGGGGATCATTTCCACATGATATTTAGAGGAAAAAACATCCAAACCATATCAGCTGCTATGAACATTCATGGACAAGTTTTTGTTTGAATGCCTGTTTTCAGTCCCGTTGGGTATATACCTAGGAGTGCCCTTGCTGTGTTGCACAGGACTTGCACGTTTACTTTTATAAGAAACTGTTTCCAGTGGCTGCGGCATTTTATATTCCCACCAGCAGGGTCTGAGAGTTCCAATCTCCTCATCTTCTCACCAGCACTTGTTATTTTCTGTAGTTTTGACGATGACCATCCTAGTGGGTGTGAAGAGGTATCTATCTCATTGTGGTTTTGGTTTTCATTTTCCTCATGACTAGGACTTACAGCATTTGATACATGACACGTGCAGATGCACCTGATACGTGACACGCGTGGATGGACCTGACACGTGCAGATGCACCTGATATGTGACACGTGCAGATAGATGCACCTGATACATGACACGTGTGGATGCATCTGATATGTGACACGCGTGGATGCACCTCGGAAGCCTGGCACCAAAGGCCGCATGCTGTATGGTTCCATTCATATGAAATGTCCAGAACAGACAAGTCCAAGAGACAGAAAGTGGTTGCTTAGGGGCTGGGGGAGGAAAAAATGGGGAGTGACTGCTTAGTGGGGCATGGGGTTTCCATCTGGAGTGATGAGAAGGTTCTGGAACAAGATGGTGGTCATGGTCACACATTATAAGTGTACTTAATGCCACTGAATTGTACACTTTAAAATGATAAAAATGGTAAATTTTTAAAAATAATTTTACTTTAAGTTCAGGGATACAAGTGCAGAATGTGCAGGTTTGCTACATAGGTACACACATGCCATGGTGGTTTGCTGTTGGTTACATAGGAACGCGTGTGCCATGGCGGTTTGCTGGTTTGTTACATAGGTACATGTGTGCCGGGTGGTTTGCTGGTTTGTTACGTAGGTATACATGTGCCATGGTGGTTTGCTGGTTGGTTACATAGGTATACGTGTGCCATGGTGGTTTGCTGGTTGGTTACATAGGTATACGTGTGCCGGGTGGTTTGCTGGTTTGTTACGTAGGTATACATGTGCCATGGTGGTTTGCTGGTTGGTTACATAGGTACATGTGTGCCGGGTGGTTTGCTGGTTTGTTACGTAGGTATACATATGCCATGGTGGTTTGCTGGTTGGTTACATAGGTATGCGTGTGCCATGGTGGTTTGCTGGTTGGTTACATAGGTACACGTGTGCCATGGTGGTTTGCTGGTTGGTTACATAGGTATATGTGTGCCATGGTGGTTTACTGGTTGGTTACATAGGTACATGCGTGCCATGGTAGTTTACTGGTTTGTTACATAGGTACACATGTGCCATGGTCGTTTGCTGGTTGGTTACATAGGTACATGCGTGCCATGGTGGTTTGCTGGTTGGTTACCTAGGTACATGCGTGCCGTGGTGGTTTGCTGGTTTGTTACATAGGTACGCGTGTGCCATGGTGGTTTGCTGGTTGGTTACATAGGTACGCGTGTGCCATGGTGGTTCGCTGGTTGGTTACTTAGGTACGTGTGTGCCATGGTGGTTCGCTGGTTGGTTACATAGGTACATGTGTGCCATGGTGGTTCGCTGGTTGGTTACATAGGTATACATGTGCCATGGTGGTTTGCTGCACCTATTGACCCATCCTCTAAGTTCCCTCCTGTTGCTCCCCACCCCCCAACAGGCCCTGGTGTGGGTTGTTCCCCTCCCTGTGTCCTTGTGTTCTCACTGTTCAACTCCCACTTATGAGAGAGATTTGGCGTTTGGTTTTCTGTGTTATGTGCATTTTACCACAAAAAAAAAATGACAAAGGAAAAAACGTTTTTTGTGTGTCAGTACCTTTGTACTTTGACAAATAAAAAGTGCGGCCGGGCACAGTGGCTCATGCCTATAATCCCAGCACTTCTGTAGATCGAGGCAGGTGGATCACCTGAGGTCAAGAGTTCCAGACCAGCCTGGCCAACATGGGGAAATCCTGTCTCTACTGAAAATACAAAAGTTAGTCAGGCATGGTGGCATGCACCTGTAGTCCCAGCTACTCAGGAGGCTGAGGCAGGAGAATCACTTGAACCTGGGAGGCAGATGTTGCAGTGAGCCGAGATCATGCCACTGCACTCCAGCCTGGGCAACAGAGCGAGACTCTGTCTCCAAAAAAAAAAAAAAAAAAAAAAAAAAAAAAAAGTGCAACAGAAGAATATTCCAGAACTGCAAAAACGTTGCTTCCCTTGGCTTCCTGAATTCAGTGGGAGACAGTCTAACCTGATTTGTATAAGCAATGATTAAAACAAAATCCTGGCCTGGCCAGGCATGGTGGCTCATGTCTATAATCCCAGCACTTTGGAAGGCCATGGCAGGCAGATCACCTGAGGTCAGGAGTTGGAGACCAGCCTGGCCAACGTGGTGAAGCACATCTGTACAAAAAATACAAAAATTAGCCAGGTATCATGGCAGGCACCTGTAGTCCCAGCTATTTCATAGGCTGAGGCAGGAGAAATGCTTGAACCCAGGAGGCAGAGATTGTAGTGAGCCGAGATTGAGCCACTGCACTCCAGCCTGGGCGACAGAGCAAGACTCCATCTCAAAAAAAAAAAAAAAAAAAAAAATCCTGGATCCTGGCCTGGGCAGCTTATGTCACAAGTGAAAGACTCAAATGAGAACCCACCGTCCACCCCTGATTCCCGTATTTTAGCCAGAGCGCCCTAAGTCAAGCATAGGCAGGGTTCCACTGAAGGAGAACACTGTTGCATGCACGGATTCAGGGTGTAAATCTTCCTAGCCGTCTTCTTGCCAGGATGACTGTGTGTTGGAGGAGGAGAAATGACCATATTTTTCAGGATTTTCAGGATGACTGGACACCGATAATTCCTGGAGACTTAATATGACACTGTTCCTTCATTCCGGGGAGTGGGGGTGAGGGTAAGCCGGTCAGATGGCAAAGAATGTTTGAGATCAGCTCCAGCTTATAGTGGAACTATTAATAGCAAGCCCAGGAACCACCATGTGGCAAATATTCCATTTCAGAATCCATGCTTAGAACAGAAATGTTTGCCAGAAGCTTGGAAAATAAGGCACACAAAATCCAGGCGTCTTCCATCTCGGTGGGATCTCCGGGGTCCAGCGCCTGGGAGCATCTCCCGATTTCCCCCCAAGGGAAAGAGAATTGCTGTCCTGGTACCTCCCATCACTAAGAGAGGGGCACAGTGCCAGGCAGGGCGTTCTGGATTTTGGAGGCAGAATAGTCTTCAGCAGATAACTGTTCTCCTTTCAAGAAAAAAAAAGTCTGGCTTTCGACTGGGCTCAAGTGAAGGTTCACTACTTCCTAGAGGTGAAACTAGTAAGCCAGTGAACACTATGAATGTTCCATTTCAGAACACATGCTTAGAACAGACAACCTATACCATAAAGTACAGGTTGTCAAGGGACCTGGGCCTCCTGCCATGAGTGAGTGTCACCCAGCACTCATGCCCCAGATGTACATGGCTGCGCCCTGCTAGCCAGGAGGGGTGAGGCATGTGGCTCAGGCTTGTGCACGGCTGACACAGCTGCGCCCTGCTAGCCAGTAGGGGTGAGGCATGTGGCTCAGGCTCACGCACGGCTGACATGGTTGCACCCCACTAGCCAGGAGGGGTGAGGTATGTGGCTCAGACTCACACACGGCTGATACGGCTGACCCCTGTTGCACTCCTTGGTCTCTGTCCCCACACTGATGTCCTCACAGGTTGTTCCCTCTGACCAGCCCTATAGAGAAGAAAATATTTCGGCCTCATTTCTGGATGTTTTTTAATGAAATACTGGCATTACCCAAAAGTACATGGCCACACCCTTCCCCCTTTGAAGGGTGGCCCTAAATGATGCAGAGGGTGAAACTGTCTTTGCAAAAATGATAACAGTGAGAAAATTATGATGGTGAAAGAGATCTGACCTGACCAATCTCATCTTGCCTTTAACTCCAAACTGCCCTTGGTTATTCCTGGGCTTGGACCAAGCTAACTTTGGGAAAAATTTAGTTTATAGTTGAAATTATTAGGTTGGTGGGTTGGTGAAAATGTCATTGTGCTTTTTGCCATTAAAAGTAATGCAATTACTTTTGCACTAACCTTTTCCCCAGACTAAATCACCTTTGAAAAACGAATGAAAGACTGCCAGGTTAGGAGGATGAGAGGGACCTGAATTCTGCTAAGATGTGGGCATAGTTATACGATTACCAGCCATTGCTCTGGAGGCCACAAGATTTGCAACTTCCCCAATTCCTCCTGCAGATAACTTCACTATTGTAGAACCTAAGGTGGCCTTTCGAGATGTCTTTTCAGGCTTTTGCATTTCTGACAACCGGATGGCCCCACCGGGACCGTCAACTCTTGGCTCAACTGGTCCTGTGGTCCTCACCCAGAGGCAGACTATCATTGCATCCCCAACCAATCAGCAGCACCCATTCCCCTAGTCCCCCTGCCCACCAAACTATCCTGGAAATATATGGAGAAAACCTTGAAAAACCCTAGCTATCAAACTGTCCTTGATCAGGTGATTACGAGGGGAGAGGGGAAAGTCCACCTTATGAGCAGAACCTGTGGGACTCACCTGGTATGGTTTTGCCTGGAAGGAGAAAGGGACAGAGCTGTAGCTCTATGTTGATTCAGCACCCAAAGGGGCTGGCCTGGACAACCAGGGTCTGGGAGGGAACCCTGTGGGCTGGAAGGTCTCAGGGAATAGCTAGTGGGTAGACGTCTCTAAATGAGCCCAAATGTGGAGATATTTGTGTCCTAGCTACATGCTTAGTAAGTGCAGCCCCAGCAGAGGTCTCTCCCGCCAGTCAAGTGCACAAGGTACCCCCAGAGTGGCCTATCCTAGTCTCTGATGGTGCAGGCGGCCTCGACAGCGGAGTGGGGGATGTGTGGCTCCACATCGTGGAGCCTGTGCTGACACGGCTGCTGCACTGTGAGGTCTAGCTCTTCCCTGGCGTCTGCTGCAGCAGAGCCCAAGGGGCTCCTTGGGGCCAGACCCAAGTCTGGTTGCCCAGAACAGGAACCTGGAACTCCGCTGCACACACACACCTCTCTGGGCTGGCAAGTCTCCCTAACCAGGGGAATAACACCTTCACCACCTTGGGTCCAGCCCCAGGCCATTGAGATCCTGGACTAGCTGGGTGGTCTTTGGGTTCCAGAGTTCCTTGATGGACATGAGGGAGCTTCAAGTGTTCATAGCAGGACCTCAAGAGGGCAGAGCTGACACCACTAAGAGAAATGCCTTTCACCCCTTTGGGACCTCTCTGCCTCACGCCTCCAGCATGTGCTTGGTCCACAGGCAAACCACTCTCCAGACTGAGCCCCAGCTCACCCCGGCAGACACTTTCTGCTGACGAGTGGGATTGTAAATGGTCAGAGAGACCCCAATTCGGAGTCATCACCTCCTCACACAGTGGACTGTAGGATTAACGTGTGTCAGCAAAAGAGGGTGACAGGACAGGACCCACAGGCACCCCAGGGGGCCCCTCAGGCAGTGGAGGTGCTCGTCAGGCCCCGTCTGCCTTGAGGAGCTCACGGTCCCACGGAGACAGAGAAACAAAACGTTAGCGCCTGTCTACATGAGCACTTGCTTCCATAAACTTGCTGTGCCTCTGGGGAGGTTCTGACGCAGCCTGAGCCCTGCCTGGTCCTGGTCTGCCTGGCGCTGGGGGTCCTGGGTGAGCACCTAGAGCATTGCAGTCATTGTGGGTCCTAAGCCTGTCGCCACCAAGTCCAGGGGCTCAAGAGGGGCCTGCGTCGTCTGCTCAGCACCTTGGACAGGGGCACGGGATGTTGTTCCCGCCATCGCCACCGACTCCCGGCACAAGCCTGGTGGTGCCTGGGACCAAAGGGATGAGCAGAGCAGAAGCCAGCTCAGGTGGCTCTGACTCCAAAGCACGGGGCCCAGAGCCCTAGGACTTCTTTCTCCGTGAGGAGCTCAGAGCACAGCATCAGGCCTCTTGCATTGTTGTTCTCTGACCTGGGATGTTGGGAAGTCAAGTTATCATCACACTCTTCTCTGCATATTTCTCAGACTTGTTTTTGTTTTTAGCAGCTTTATTGAGATATAATTGACATACAATAAACTGTAAAGTTTAGAGTGTACAGCCTGATAATTGTTGACACTTGCATGGTGAACCAGCACACTGATGGAGGTAAGGAATGGATCCACCACTCTCAAAACCTCCTCCTGCCCCTCTGTAATTCCTCCTCCCTTCCCTCCCTACCCCACAAGGCAATCACTGACTCACTTTCTTTAACCGTAGACTAGTTTGCATTTTCGGGAATTTTATCCAACTGGAATCATTCAGTTAAGACACGTGTTTTTCTCTGACTTACTTATTCTGAGCTTCATCTGCATGGCCGCGTGTATCAGCAGTTAATTCCTTTCTATTGCTGGGCAGTCTTCCATTCTTGGATGGAGCACACTTTGTTTACTCATTTGCATGTTGGTGGGTGTTTCGAGTCTTTCCAGCTTCTGTCCGTTACAAGTAAGCCTGCTACGAACATTCGCATACAGGTCTTTTTAAGGATGTGGGCTTTCATTGCTTTTTGCTAAATACCCACAAGTGGAATGGCTGCACCATATGCAGGCATATATTTAACTTTTTAAGAAACTGCCAAACTATTTTCAAAGGTGGTTGTAGCATTTTCCATGTTCACCAGCAGAGCAGGAATGGTCTGGTCACTCCACCTTTTCACCAAGACTCGTATGGTTGGAAAGTAAGGAATAGTTCAGAGGATGGCAGCAATATCTCAAAAGCACACAGAACCCCACTCGATCGGGCTCCTAGGGACCAAGTCTGGGATACTTTTTAAAAATACAACTTTTAATTATGAGATCATTGTAGATCCACATGTAGTTGTGAGGAATAACACAGAGAGGTCCTGTGTGCCCTTCACCCAGTTTCCCTCAATAGTAACATCTTGTAAAGCTGAAAAGTACAACGGCACAACCAGGACATGAGCATCGATGCGGCAAGGCACAGACGTTTCTGGCACCACGTGGGTCCCTCCTGTTGTCCTTGATAGCCACACCCCCTCCGCCTCCTACCCCTATTTCCAAGACCTCCCTCACTCTTGGGGAACACTAATCTATTCTTGGGGAATACTAATCTCCACTAACTCTTGGGGAACACTCCTCTCCATTTCTATAATTGTGTCATTTCAAGCATGAAATAGAAATAGAGCCCTACAGAATGTAACCTCTTGGGGCTGGGCACAGTGGCCCATGCCTGTAATCCCAGCACTTTGGGAGGCTGAGGTGGGGAGATCACTTGAGGTCAGGAGTTCAAGACCAGCTTGGCCAACACTGTGAAACCTCATCTCTACTAAAAATAAAAAAATTAACCGGGTGTGGTGGTACACACCTGTAATCCCAGCTACTCAGAAGTCTGAGGCAGGGGAATTGTCTGAACCTGGGAGGCGGAGGTTGCAGTGAGCTGAGATCGCACCACTGCATTCTAGCCTGGGTGACAGAGCCAGACTCCATCTCAAAAAAGAAAGAATGTCACTTCTTTGGACTGGTGTTTTCCCCTCAGCATAGCTCTCTTAAGATCTGTCCATCTTTGGGGTGTGTCAAGAGCTCATTCATTTTTATTGCTCAGTAGTGTTTCACGGTACGGATGTGTTACACTTTGTTTAACCATTTGCCCACTGAGGGACACCTGGGTTGCTTCTAGTGTTGGGGTATTTGGTATCAAGCTGTGCTAAACATTCATGTTTAGGTCATATGGTTTGGCTGTGTCCCCACCCAAATCTCACCTTGAATTTCCATGTGTTGTGGGAGGGACTTGGTGGGAGGTAATTGAAGCAGGGGGCAGGTCTTTCCTGTGCTGTTCTCATGATAGTGAATAAGTCTAATGAGATCTGATGGTTTTGAAAAACGGGAGTCTCCCTGCACAAGCTCTCTCTTTGCCTGCCGCCATCCACGTAAAACGTGACTTGCTTCTCCTTGCCTTCTGCCATGGTTGTGAGGCCTCCCCAGCCACATGGAACTGTAAGTACAGTAAGCCTCTTTCTTTTGTAAATTGCCCAGTTTCGGGTATGTCTTAATCAGCTGTGTGAAAACAGACTAACACAGCAGGTTTGGGAGTGAACATAAGTCTCCATTTCTCTAGGTAAATGGCCGGGAGTGCAATTATTGGGTGGTATGGTAGTTGTATGTTTATTTATTATTATTATTATTTTTCACAATGGAGTCTTGCTCTGTCACCCAGGCTGGAGTGCAGTGGTGCGATCTCGGCTCACTGCAACCTCCACATCCCAGGTTCAAGCGATTCTCCTGCCTCAGCCTCCTGAGTAGCTGGGACTATAGAGGTGCACCACCATGCCCAGCTAATTTTTGTGTTTTTAGTAGAGATGAGGTTTCACCATGTTGGCCAGGATGGCCTCAATCTCTTGACCTCGTGATCTGCCTGACTTAGCCTCCCAAACTGCTGGAATTACAGGTGTGAGCCACAGTGCCTGGCCATATGTTTAGTTTTTTAAGAAACAGCTGAAATGCTTTCCAGGGGGTTTTTACTACTGTATGTTCACATCAATAATGTGTGACGGATCCAGTGTTCCACATCCTCACCAGTGGCATTTTTTTATTTTAGCCTTTCCAATAGGTGTGTATAATATCTTGTTGCATTTTAATTTTCATTTCTTTCACTTACAAAGTTGTTGAACATCTTTTTATGTACATATTTTGTTATCTATATATTCGTTTTTCATGAGGAAAGCCCTCCTTTGAATAAATATTCTCTTCAGTGAAGTGCCTTTTCATGTCTTTTGCCCATTTTCTAATTGGTTGATTTGTAACTGTTGAATTTTGAGAGTTCTTTATACAGTCTAGACACTAGTTCTTTGCTGGATAAATGGTTTGCAAATATTTTCTCCCAGACTGTAGCTTGTCTTTACATCCTCTTAACAGTTTTTTTTTTTTTAGTGCAAAAGTCTTAAATTTGAAGAGGTCAAGTTTATCAGTTTTTCTTTTTATGGATCATGCTTCTGGTGTCAAGTCTGAAAACCTTTTTGTCTTGTCCCAGATCTCAAAGATGTTCTCCTGTGGTTTTGTTTTCCCTAATTTTTTTTTTTCTGATTTCATGTTTGTGATCTGTTTTGAGGTCACTTTTGTGCAAGGTCTAGGTTGAGTTTTGTTGTTGTCTGTTGTTGCTTTTTGCCTACGGATTTTCCATTGCTGTGGCGCCGCACTTTGAAAGCAATGCGTCTTCCACTGAGTCGCACTTGCATCTTTGTAGGAATCCCCAGGGCGTATTTGTGTGGGTCTATTTCTGGGCAGTTCGTTGTGCCACATCAATCTGAGTATCTGTCCCTCTGCCAACCCCACACTCTCTAGGTCATTATAACTACTATATATAAGAAGTCTTGCAATCAGGTACATGGATTAGCCCCATTTTTCTCTTTTTCCAAATTAAGCCTCTTCTTTTTTTTTTTTTTTTTTTTTGCGACAGAGTCTCGCTCTATCACCCAGGCTGGAGTGCAGTGGTGCGGTCTCGGCTCACTGCAAGCCCCGCCTCCCAGGTTCACGCCATTCTCCTGCCTCAGCCTCCCGAGTAGCTGGGACTACAGGCACCCACCACCATGCCCAGCTAATTTTTTGTATTTTTAGTAGAGACAGGGTTTCACTGTGTTAGCCAGGATGGTCTCGATCTCCTGACCTCGTGATCCACCCACCTTGGACTCCTGAAGTGCTGGAATTACAGGCATTAAATTTCTTTCCTTTAAAAATTACCCAATTTTAGCTATTCTAGCTCCATCACTTTCCATCTATCCTTTGGAATAATCTTGTACTTATTCATGACATATCTTTTTGGAATTTTGTTAGACGCAATAAGAATTGTGTTAAACCCATAAATCAGTCTGGGGAGAGAATTCACCACTTCACGATGTTGAGTCTTCCACTCTATGAGCAAGGCACGC
The DNA here is from genome assembly GCF_000001405.40 of Homo sapiens. NCBI lineage: Eukaryota > Metazoa > Chordata > Mammalia > Primates > Hominidae > Homo > Homo sapiens. The sequence continues at coordinate 93,403 of NT_187573.1, read as the reverse complement.
CTTTTCACTTACTTTCTTCGTCTTCTTTCTTTCATCAGAATTCTGTGTACAAAACACATATACAAAGTCCAGCACATTATTTGTTAGACTTACACCTAAGTACTTCATTTTTTGAGTGGTTAAAAATAGAAGTATATTTTTCATTGTGATGCCCATGTGTTTACTGCTACTACATAGAAATACAATTGATTTTTCAAACGTTTATCTTCTTTCTTGTGACCTTTCTGAACTCACTGATTAGTTCTAGGACGCTCTTATTTATTTCAGATTCCTTACGATTTTTTAAGTGGGCTACAAAGTCATCTGCTTATGGGACAAGGGCGTGTCTTCCTTTTTGATGTGTATGCCTTTGGTTTCCTTGTCTCTCTGTGTGCACCGGCCAGAGCTTCCAGCACTGTGTTGTGTTGAACGCGAGGGTTTCCTTGTCTTGCTGTGCACCAGCCAGAGCTTCCAGCACTGTGTTGAACGCGAGGGTTTCCTTGTCTTGCTGTGTGCACCGGCCAGAGCTTCCAGCACTGTGTTGTGTTGAACGCGAGGGTTTCTTCGTCTTGCTCTGTGCACCGGCCAGAGCTTCCAGCACTGTGTTGTGTTGAACGCGAGGGTTTCCTTGTCTCTCTGTGTGCACCGGCCAGAGCTTCCAGCACTGTGTTGTGTTGAACGCGAGGGTTTCTTTGTCTCTCTTTGTGCACCGGCCAGAGCTTCCAGCACTGTGTTGTGTTGAACGCGAGGGTTTCTTTGTCTCTCTGTGTGCACCGGCCAGAGCTTCCAGCACTGTGTTGTGTTGAACGCGAGGGTTTCCTTGTCTTGCTGTGTGCACCGGCCAGAGCTTCCAGCACTGTGTTGTGTTGAACGCTAGTGGTGAGAGCTGATGCTCTTCATTTGTTTCTGATCTTAGGGGAAAGCATCTAGTCTTTCATTAGCAAGCGTGTGAGCTGAGGGTGTTTTGTAGATGATCTTTATCAAGTTGATGAAGTTCCCCTTGATTCCTCTTCTTCTGAGAGTTGTTTTTTTTTTTTTTTTTTTTTTAAATCATGAGTGATGTTGAATTTTGCCAGGTGCTTTTTCTGCATTTTGACGTGGTCATGTGATTTTTCTTCTTTAGCCTATTTATTTTATTTTATTTTATTTTATTACTATTATACGTTAAGTTTTAGGGTGCATGTGCACCATGTGCAGGTTTGTTACATATGTATACCTGTGCCTTAGCCTACTAATAGGATGAACTACATTGATTACTTTTGGATATTGAACCAGACTTGCATCCCTGGAATAAAGCTCCACTTGGTCATGGTCTTTAATTATTTGTATATATTGCTGAACTCTATTTTCAAGTATTTTGTGAAGGATTTTTATGTGTTCATAAAGAACATTGTGTGCAGTTTTCTCTTTATATAATGTCTGTGTTAGGCTGTTCTCACATCGTTATAAATACCTGGCTGGGTGCGGTGGCTTGCACCTGTAATCTGTAATCCCAGCACTTTGGGAGGCCAAGCTGGGTGAATCACCTGAGGTCACGAGTTCGAGACCAGCCTGGCCAACATGGTGAAACCCTGTCTCTACTAAAAATACAAAAAATTAGCCGTGTGTGGTGGCAGACACCTGTAATTCCAGCTACTTGGGAGGCTGAGACAGGAGAATCGCTTAAACCCAGGAGGCAGAGGTTGCAGTGAGCCAAGATCGCACCACCACACTCCAGCCTGGGCAACAAGAGTGAAACTTCATCTCAAAAAAAAAAAAAAAAAAAAGAAGAAGAAGAAGAAGAAATACCTGGCTGGGTGCGGTGGCTCACACCTGTAATCTGTAATCCCAGCACTTTGGGGGGCCGAGGTGGGTGGATCATTTGAGGTCAGGAGTTTGAGACCAGCCTGGCCAACATGGTGAAAACCCATCTCTACTAAAAATACAAAAATTAGTTGGGCATGGTGGTGGGTGCCTGTAATGCCAGCTACTGGGGAGGCTGAGGCAGGAGAATCGCCTGAATCCAGGAGGCAGAGGTTGCAGTGAGCCGAGATCATGCCACTGCACTCCAGCCTGGGCGACAGAGCAAGCCTCTGTCTCAAAAAACAAAACAAAACAAAACAAAACCTAATATTGGGAAATTTATAAAGAAAAGAGGCTTAGAGGCCTCAGGAAGCTTGCAACCATGGCGGAAGGCAATGGGGGAGCAGGTGCGTCACAGGCCGTAGCAGGAGAAAGCTGGGGGCGAGGGGTGGGGGGAGGAGGGAGAGGGGGAAGGTGCTACACACTTTTAAATGCCCAGATCTCGTGAGAACTCTGTCATGAGAACAGCACTGGGGTGCTCATGATCCAGCCATCGGCGTCCACACTGCCACTGAGTCCTGGCTGCCTTCCTCGCTTTCCTCACCCTCCTCGTTGCTCACTGTTTGCTGGGGCACATTCCCAGTGCTGGTGCCTTTGCCGGGCTTCCCCGATGGGCGTGGAATCTGGGGCCGGTAGACAGGCAGAGGCTCCTCCCACCTCACAGCACAGAGGGGCGGCTTTGTCAGGGGACGCCCTCCTGGGCTGGAACAGAAAGCACACACCGGGGCACTGGCCACCCCTTGGCCCTGGGGGAGGGGACGGGGGCTGGACCTGCCCAGACTTACAGGCTCAAGAGGAAGCTTCTCCCTCCACTGTTAGGGGGAGGCAGCGAGTCAAGGCAGCCTCACCTGCGAGGGCAGGCCCCATGACCAGTCCAAACAGAGATGGGGGATGAGACGTGGAGATGGTCATCAAAGGACCATGCAGATGAGGGGGGCGGGCATCAGGGAGGGAGGGTGCTAACCACTGGGTGAGCTGCAGCCCCCTTGCAGGGCCTGGGCAGCGCTGCCTGCCATGGCTTCCCGGTTACCCAGGGTCTCCAAACAGCACAAGACGCTGGCACAGAGGATGCTGTCCCAGGTGAACTCCTCCCAGCCGGGACGGGCCGAGACGATGCGGTTGTTGGTGCAGCCCCTGGTGACCTCTGTCACTTGTTCTGACCCTGGGGAGAGAGAAGGCCGGGCTCACAGCCCTGAGCCTCCAGGGACAGCACAGAAGCCGGCTTTCCCGGAGGAGGTGAGGACCAGGGAGGACAGATTTCCCAGACCTCCCTGGACCTGGGGGCAGAATTCAGAGCAGCAGGTGGTCTCCCAGTGCCTGCGGGCATCCGACCCAGGCTTGGCTGGGTCCTGCTTGCGTGCACAGATGTGACAGAGATGTCTGGAGAGGCCTCTGCCACTGTGTCTGTTTATAGGGGACCCTCCTGACAAGGCACAAAGGAAAACCTGGAACGGCCCTGAAAGAGAAGGAAGGCTCATGCGGGCACAGCAGGAGGTGCCAACATCACATCCTACACTCAAGAAGAACGTTTTCCAGCTGAAGGAGGCCTGGGGATCTGCTGTCCCTATCCGCAGGAAGCACCGCACAGCTGGATAGGGAAGAAACAGGATCTTTAAAGTCCTAGTCAGTCCCAAGGGCTGAGCCACCCCTGCAGCCCACCTCCCTCCCGACCTGCCCAGGGCTCACCCAGGTGGGGGCTTTGCTGCCACTAAACCTGGACCCAGAAGGACAGAGGGGAGGGGTAGAAACCAGCACGAGCTGCATCCAGGGAAGCTGCAGTCTCCGTTTATACAAAACTTCCTTCAAAACAGGAGGAAGGAGGAGCAGATGCCGAAGGAGCGGTGAGGTGGTTGTCTGAGAAGATGACCACAGCAGATGGCAGACAGGAACAGCCCGCCCAAGAGGGCTGGAGTTCAATGCTTGTCAAAGCCCCAGCTGGCTGGCCGGGTGCAGTGGCTCATGCCTGTAATCCTGGCACTCTGGGAGGCCAAGGTGGGAGGATCCCCTGAGGCCAGGAGTTGGAGATCAGCCTGGGCAACATAGTAGACCCCCATTCTATAAATAAATAAATAAATAAATAAATAAATAAATAAGTTGGGTGTGGTGGCACGTGCCTGTTGTCCCAGCTACTTGGGAGGCTGAGGTGGGAGGATCACTTGAGTCTGAGAGGGCAAGGCTTCAGTGAGCCATGATCGTGCCACTGCACTCTATCCTGGGTGACAGAACAAGACCCTATCTCAAAGATAAATGAATAAATATAAGACCACCAGCCATCACCCCAAACCACTGGGAGAAGAGGACATGGTGCCGGGAGGGCCACGGGCGTGCCGAGGGCTGCATGCCCATCAGCACATCAGCGAGGGAGTTTTTGAGGGAAGGTGGCTTGCAGCCAAAATTCAAAATGTGCCTCTCTTATCTAGACGGGTGACAGAGGATGCAAAACCACGTACAGCAGGGTGGCGGCCTGGCCAGGTGGGGCTTTGAGGCCTTTGAAAGTAACAAGCCAGCTCTGCACCTGCTAGCCCCCAAAATACTCAGAAATTATCACAAAGAAAGAGGAGGGTGACGGTGCGGCAGCTCATGCCTGTAATCCCAGCAGTTTGGGAAGCTGAGGCAGAGGATTACTTGAGCCCAGGAGTTTGAGACCAGCCAGAGCAACATAGTGAGACCCCATGTCTACAAAATAAAAATAATAAACAAATAAATAAGAATGAAAGAAGACAGAGACACATGGCTGGCATGTCCTGGGGATGCCCACTGGTGCCTGTGTCCCGGGGATGCCCGCTGGTGCCTGCTGTAGAGTGGAGAGTTGAACTGCACTGTGGCTTATGCCCTTTGGAACCAGAGCAGGGAGAGGACTTCCTGTTACCCAGGGTCCTCCCATGGAATTGGAATGTACATCAATTCTCTATCTGGTCACCCCAAAAGAGATGGGTGTCATTGGCTCTCTGGACTCCTGGCTGCTCCCCTCCCCTCCAGGCGTATGTGGCATCCCACGGCCTGCTTTTCCTAAGGGATCCAGAGGCCCAGCATGGAGTCCCCAGCTGAGTCCACGAGGAGGATGAAGGGAGGGGAGGCTGCCCAGGCCGGAACTCAAAGTCTAGGTCCCCTAACCCTGGACCCCCAGGCCCTGCTCACAGCTGGGCAGGAGCCCGTGGAGGGAACCACGGAGCTCAGAAGCCCACCCCCACCCTCTCCAGGGACTGTCCCGGCTGGCCCTGCCCTGTGTGGACCACCGCAAGCTGGAAGAAACCCAGGCTTTCCTGGGCACTGCAGGAGACTGGCTTGTAGGCCTGCTGGCATTGGTGTGGAGGCAGTGGTAGCATGACAGGCTTCAGTTTGCAGGAGGAGGGGTGAGGGCAGAGCCATGGGCTCCGAGCACACCTGGGTCTGGGCCCAGCCACTACCATGTGAAGATGCCCAAAGACCCCAAGCTCATAGCACCTCAGGTGACACCCTCAACCCTGAGCACACATTCTCCACCCTGGGGCCGGTGTTCACAGCCGTGGGTGTGAAGCCACATAGCATCCCACTCCGCTGCAGGGTCACAGGGCAAAATGCACTCAGCACAGCAGGCCTGCGTTGTCCTCAAGGAAACATGCGCCTTACACCACAGAGACACAGCTGGCCTTTCCTTCCACCCCGTCCTGGTGTCTTCACCTTTCTCTGCATACACCAGCATGGGCCCCAGGATCAGGAGAACCCTGTCCATTACGCAGGCAGCAGGTCTACACTGGGAGCAGAGGCAGAACCTCGCCAGGGCCCCGACCCCTGCTCTCTCCCCTCAACCATTGGTCCTGCCCCTGGACGCCTCCTCTGTGCCCACTGGGATGTGTCCTCCTGGCCCCTCCAGCCCTATCCTCACAGGGGTCTGCATCCCAGGGACCCTCGCCTGAATCCCCCTCCTGCCCCTTCCCTCAGACCTGGGCTGGGCCTGACAGAGGACAGAGGTACTGGGGAGGATTCCTGGGGTTCTTACGCAGCAACCTTGGAGGCCCAAGGAGGAGGATGCAGCCATCACAGCCCGGGGTGAGATGCAGGTCCACCCCCTTCCAGACTCAGCCCCAGCCTCAGCTCTGATGCATCCCCTCTTTGTCTAACAGTCCCCAAAAGTAGGGCAAGGGGCTCCACACTGTGGGGACACCAGGGACCATGAAGACTGGGAGCAGACCCAGAAGTCTCTGAGCTCCTGAAAGGACAGTGACCAAGGCTGAGAAAATGTGGGGAGGACAGTTTGTTTTCTCAAGTTAATGTTCAGTGAAACAAACTGCTTCCTCGGCTCTCACCCTGTGAGCGTGATGGACGCCACATGCCCCCGGCACTCAGGCACTCAGGCACTCAACCCTGGAAGCTTGAACAAGGACATCCAGGGCTTTGATTTCATCTAGCATGTCCAGATCTTATCATTCTCAAAAGTTTTCTGTATCTCTTAAGACCATATTCTCTGACACAGTGAAGTCATACATTCATAACAAAAAGGATAAATACATATTTTCACAAGTAAAAATGCAAAAAGTACATTCCAAATGAACAGATTCTTTAAAAAGAGAAGATCTTAAATATTTTTTTAAAAACCTAGAACAGATGAATGAAGAAAATACCACTTCTCAAAATGGGATGCAGTGAAGGGTGGTAGCTGAGCAAAATGCATATCCTGCGTCCTTACATGAAAGAAAAATAAAGGGGAACATTCTGTTGGGGGTTCATTTTTAACTTTTCAATTTTCTTTTGTTGTTGTTGTTTTAACTTCTACTCAAGACAGCTTGGATTAACTTTTCATTTTGAAATAGTTTCAGGTTTATTAAAAAGTTGCAAAAAAAGTACAAGAATTATGCCGTCTGCTTTATATAGATTTTCCAAGTCTTAACATTTTTCATAACTATAGTACAATGATCAAAACCACAGAATCAGCACTGATACAACTTATAATCTAATCTATAGACCTCATTCACATTTCAGCCATTGTCCCCCTCACAGCCTTCTCTAGTCCAGCATCTAATCCAAGCTCACACGTTTCACTTGGTTGTCCAGCCCCTTTAGTCTGCTTTAACCTGGAACGGGTCCTCAGCATGGATTTATTTCGTGACCTGACACTTTTGAAGAGTAAAGGCCAACTGTTTTGTAGAAAGCCCCATCATTTGGGATTGTTGCTTAAGTGTGCTGTTCTATGTATTCACACTGACACCTCTTTCCCATGGCCATAATATTCTGTATTTCCTTCCTTCCTTGTGTACTTTTGATCTCTTTTCTCCCACAGTGACAATGCTGGCTTGTGACAAAACCAATTTATTTCAACAGTTTAATGATAATATATCTGCATCTGTATTTATCCTATTTGAATTCACTGGGCTTTTGAATCTATAATCTTTAGGTTTATGTCCTTTTTCAAAATTGAAACATTATCAGTCATTAGTTCTTCAGATCTCATTTCTGTACTCCACTCTTTCTCCTCTCCTTCTGGGCCACCAATTATACAGCTGTTGGACTTTTTGGTATTGTTCCTGAGGTGCTGTTCATTTTTTGTTTTGTTTTGTTTTGAGACAGAGTCTCCCTCTGTCACCCAGGCTGGAATGCAGAGGTGCGATTTTGGCTCACTGCACCCTCTACCTCCCGAGTTCAAGTGATTCTCCTGCCTCAGCCTCCTGAGTAGCTGGGATTGCAGGCACCTGCCACCATGCCCAGCTAATTCTTGTATTTTCAGTAGAGATGGGATTTTGCCATGTTGGCCAGGGTAGTCTTGAACTCCTGACCTCAGGTGATACATCTGCCTCGGCCTCCCAAAGTATTGGGATTATAGGTGTGAGCCACTGAGCCCTGCCTCATTTTTTTTTAAATCAGTGTCTTTTGTGTTGTTCAAATTGGACAACTGCCATAACAACTCTTTCCCTTTTCATTTCCATTCTCCTGTTGGCCCAGCCAGAGACTGCTTTATCCTGGTGATTATGTTTCCAGTGGTGCAATTCCCACTTGGTCATTCTTTGTACATTCCACTTTCTCCCTGAGCCTTCTTATCTTTCCATTTATCTCAAGAGTGTTTGCCATTACTTGCTAGAGAATGCTTATGATAATTACTTTAAAGATGTTGGTGATTCCAACCCTCATGTCATCTCAGCACTGGCAGCTACTGATTGCCATTTTCCTTGCTCATTGAGATTTTCCTGATTTTTTGTAGAAGTAATTTTGGATTGTGTCCTGGGCGTTTTGAATGTTGTGAGACTCTGTGTCTTATTTAAGTGGTATGGAGAATGCTGCTAGTTTTGTTTTAGCAGCAATTGATGTGGTTGGGCTTATGTTGCAAGTGCAGAGCAACCTGCAGAGGCTGTGGCTTCCACATCAGCTCAGTCTTTAAAGCCTCATGGTGTTTGGGTATGCAGGTCACTCTCACGTCTCGGTGGAGGTAGATCCCCTCACCTGGTTCTCATAGTCTATTCCATCGAGGGTCACATCCATGCATGCCCAGCTCGGGAGTGAGCCAGAGGTTTTACTGACAACACGATGGATTGCTTTCCAAAGTTCCTCATTACCTGCAGTTTCTCTGATGCTGTGTGGTCACCTGGGATTCTTCTTTGGGGCATCTAGTCAGAAGGCTGCGGCTCATTATGTCACGGTGCTCACACTTTCTCCCTCTTCGACCCCCTCTGGGGTCATGACGTGGGAAGATGTGGAGAGAAAAAGACCCGTGGCCTTTACCCCACCCTCTCGGAATCACAGCTTATCTGATTAGAGGCAAGATCCCTGCCCTCAGTGTTGTGGGTCCCTGCAGGCTCCATGGTGGCTCCTGTGGCTGCTGCTAACCCATTCACTGAGTAAGCCCTGGAGGGGTCCCCCAGAGCTCCCCACCTGTGCCCTGGTGTCTGCTCCTAGAGTGTGGGCTGCCTTGAGTCAAGGCCAGGGAATGCCAGAGGAATGAAAAGGGAAAACTTTCCACTGGTTTGGTGGCACCTCACATTTTTGTCTTATTTCTCAATCTTCCTGATAATTTTATGATCAGAGTGTCCATTTGCATGTGTCCTGGAGGCAGCTCAGATAGCTTCTCCACGTGTTTCAGGCAGGGTTTAGAGCTGCACTCAGCAGAAGAGATGGGAGAGACTACCTCCTCCACCTGACCTTGAGCTCAAACCAGCCTTGGCAGTGCTGCCCTCGACATGCTGCACGTTACCCTCTGCAGCAGGTGCCACCCCAACGTCAACATCCCTAGGGCTGTTTTCATTTGCATTTCTTCCACAAGTGAAGGGCAACATTTTTCCTTATGTTTAAGTGGTATTTTATATCATTGTTGCTAATGTTTGTGTATGTTGCTCATATTTTCTATTAAGCTTTTGGCGTTTGCCTACCTCCCCCAATTAAGAGTTCTTTATAACTCCCTGGTATGTGTTTGTTTGTGTGTGTGTGTGCCCATGTGCACCTCATACAAAATATCTATATTTTTATAGAGTCAAATTAGTCAATCTTTTCTTTTTTGCATTTCGATTGAATTAAATTTAGGAAGTCTTTCTCCACACTGAGGTTGTAAAGATATTCACAGCCGGGCATGGTGTCTCATGCCTGTAATCCCAGCACTTTGGGAGGCTGAGGTGGGCGAATCACAAGGTCAGGAGTTCGAGACCAGCCTGGCCAACATGGTGAAACACCGTCTCTACTAAAAATACAAAAAATTAGCTGGGCATGGTGGCGGGTGCCTGTAATCCCAGCTACGCGGGAGGCTGAGGCAGGAGAATCGCTTGAACCCAGGAGGCGGAGGTTGCAGTGAGCCGAGATTGCGCCACTGCACTCCAGCCTGGGTGACAGTGCAGGACTCCATCTTGAAAAAAAAAAAAGATATTCACGTATCATTTCTTTTGGTATTTCTACACTTTGGTTGTTTAACATTAATTCTTATGTCTGCTATGTGGATGCATGGGTAGAGATCCTATTTGACTTCTTCCAAGAATCCATTCATTTGTTCACACATCAATTATTTTAACAAGTTTATCTTTGATCCAGAGATTTGAGATTCTCCCCGTATTGTACACAGAGTTTCCATGCATTCTTGGGTATATTTCTGGTCTTTCTAGTCTACTTCACTTGATTATTCATTAGCATGAAGACACCACATCGTTTTAATTTTTGAGGGTTTTTTTGGTGTGTTTTAATCTCTGGTAGTACTAACCCATTAATAACTCAACTTTTTTTCAGAATTTTCCTAACCAATCTTGAATGTTTTTGTTTGCATATCTTTCAACATGTCTTGTTCAATAAAAAGAAATCATGATTTTTATAGCAATCACATTAAATGAAAACATTTCATAAATTAGGGAGGACTGATGTCTAATGGCATTGGTGCCGTTAGAGAACAAGGAACAGCTTTACAATGGCTCAAGGCTCCAGGTGCATCTCGCAGGAGTGCATTGAATTTTACTCCCTTAGATTTTGCACGTTTTGAAATCCAATTTATTTTTAAGCATTGGATTTTCTCCCCAATTGTAAATGAGGTTTTCTCTTCCATTATATCTTGTAGTTAGTTCTTGCTTCTATATAAAAAGGCTGTTGGTTTTCACTTTAATTTCATATTCTACTACCTCATTGAATGATTTTATTGAATTTTCTAGTCTTAGCATTGCTCCATTAGGGCTTTTTTCCTTTTTTTTTTTTTTTTTTTTTTTTGACGGAGTCTCACTCTGTCATACAGGCTGGAATACAGTGGCACAATCTTGGCTCACTGCAACCTCCGCCTCCTGGGTTCAAGTGATTCTCCCACTTCAGCCTCCTGAGTAGCTGGGATTATAGGCGCCTGTAGCTGGGATTATAGGTGCCCGCCACCACACCCAGCTAATTTTTTGTATTTTTATTAGAGACAGGGTTTCGCCATGTTGGCCAGGCTGGTCTTGATCTCTTGACCTCGTGATCTGCCCGCCTCAGCCTCCCAAAGTGCTGGGATTACAAGTGTGAGCCACCGTGCCCAGCCAGGGCTTTCTTTAGAAAGAGTTTTTGAGGTAGATGGGTCAGCAGCAAATAGATTGTATTTTCCTCAAATCTTTTGCCTCCAATTGCTTTCTCCTCTATTTTTCTTTGCTTTTGTCTCCACTGCAATGTTTAAAAAATGACAGTGTCTGTCCTGGTCTTAGTGCATTAGTGGAACCGCAGCCAGTACTTTCCCATACAGTGAGTTTCTGGCTTCAGGGTTCACACACACACACATGCACACACACGCATGCACACGTGTGTGCACACAATCATGTTATTGTCCAATGTGCTACTGAATTTGTCTTGCTAATATTTTATTTAAGATTATTGCACTGATATATAAAAGTGCTATATTTTCCTTTTTGGTATCATCTTTATCATGTTTGGCTATCAGTGTGATGCTTGCCTTGTAAAAGGAACTTGGAAACTTTACTTCTTGGGCCCAATTTGGCAAATTATGTTTTTACTAGAAACACTTCATTTCATCTAAATTTTCAAACTTATTCCATACAGGTATGCAAAATGTCTGTTGTGATCATTTATTTTATTTTTATTTATTTTTCTGAGACAGGGTCTCATTCTGCTGTCTGGGCTGGAGTGCAGTGGTGCGATCTCGGCTCACTGCAGCCTTCACCTCCTGGGCTCAGGCAATCCTCCCACCTCAGCCTCCCCAGTAGCTGGGACCACAGGCATGCACCACCCAACCTGGCTTCTTGTGACAGTTCGATCAATTTTACTGAAGTGTGATTTACACACAACAAAAAGCACCCATTTTAAGTGGTCAGCTCAATGAATGTTGGTAAATTTACACACCACATACCCACCACCATGCTCATCACACTTGCCTCTCCCAACAGGCGCCCGCCATGAGTGACACGGCCCCCCATCCACATCCGGCTCCAGGCAACCACTGATCCACTTCCCACCACTTGAATTCAATTTCCACTTCCTGGGATTTTGCATGAATGGGTGGCTGGAACGGTTCAGCCTCTTTAACCACTCAAGCCATTTATCTGTGTTTCCCCTTCCATCTCATTCTCAGTCTTGCCAGCAATGTCACCATTTTGCGCATCTGTTGACTTTGTGGATCTTCTCTATTTTAGTTTATTTTGGTTTCTGATTTCTTTAATAACACCTTTTGGGGGGACATTTTCCTTCAGAACTCCCTGGGTTTAATTTGTTGTTCTTCTCAAGGTTCTAGACCTGAATACAAGGTTTCTTAATTTTCAGCCCCTCTTCCTTTCTAACACAAGGCCTTAAGTCTATACGTTTTCCTCAAAGCACCACTCTCATTTAAAACAAAAGCTGGTTCTGATTTTTGTTACCACGCAGCTCAAGGAATTTTTAAGAAGCCTATTATAGTTTCTTCTTTAACAGACGAACTAACTGAAATGTTAATTAAATTTCCCATATTTGAAATGTTAAAGTTTATCTTCATCATAAACATTCAATTTAAATACACATGGTCAGAGAACATGGTGCATGGGAAGTGTGTTACCCTGGGATGTTGAACACGTCAGGTCTACACCATGGGCTGGTGCGTTACCCTGGGACGTTGAACACGTCAGGTCTACACCATGGGCTGGTGTGTTACCCTGGGACACTGAACACGTCAGGTCTACACCATGGGCTGGTGTGTTACAATGGGACATTGAACACGTCAGGTCTACACCATGGGCTGGTGCGTTACCCTGGGACGTCGAACACATCAGGTCTACACCACTGGGCTGGTGCGTTACCCTGGGATGTCGAACGTGGCAGGTCTACACCACTGGGCTGGTGCGTTACCCTGGGACGTCGAACGTGGCAGGTCTACACCACTGGGCTGGTGCGTTACCCTGGGACGTCGAACGTGGCAGGTCTACACCACTGGGCTGGTGCGTTACCCTGGGACGTCGAACGTGGCAGGTCTACACCACTGGGCTGGTGCGTTACCCTGGGACGTCGAACGTGGCAGGTCTACACCACTGGGCTGGTGCGTTACCCTGGGACGTCGAACGTGGCAGGTCTACACCACTGGGCTGGTGCGTTACCCTGGGACGTCGAACGTGGCAGGTCTACACAACTGGGCTGGTGTGTTACCCTGAGACGTTGAATGTGTCAGGTCTACACCACTGGGCTGGTGTGCTACCCTGGGACATTGAATGTGTCAGGTCTGCCCCGCTGGGGACAGCATCGCCATTTCTGGCTGTAGGGGGTCTGATAAAAGGTCTTGATTTTCCTTTGTTACTCAACTATATAGAAGGTTTTTTTCTCTATCAGTAGGGGGAGTATGGGTGATTGATTATCAATGTTGCTGCAATTGTTATTTTTTAAAATAAATTTATATATAAAAAATGATGTGTTAAAATTGAAAATCCACATGAAAAAAACAAACAAAAAACAACAACAACAAAAAAAACTAATCCAGACACAAATCTTATACCTTTCACAAAAACTAACTAAAAAGGACCATAGGCCTGAATGCAAAATGCAAAACTATAAACCTCCTAGAAGAAAATGCAGGAGAAAATTGATCTGACCCTGGGTTTGGTGATGAGTTTTTAGATACAAAACTGAAAACATAATCCCTAAAATTAAAAAAAAATTGATTAAAAAAATCGACAGATTGGGCTTGGTGGCTCAACCTGTTTCTTTTGGGCTCAAAGGATCTGCCAGCCTCAGGCTCCCAAAGTGTAATCCCAGCACTTTGGGAGCCTGAGGCAGGCAGATTCCTTGAGTCCAAGGGTTTGAGATGAGCCTGGGCAACATAGGAAGACCCTGTCTGTATTTAAAAACAAACAAACAAACAAACTCAAGAAGAACATAAAAAATGAAGAAAGCATCTGACCAGACACCTCACCAAAGATCCGCTGCTGGCAAGTAAGCAGACAGAACGAGGCTCTGGGAACAGGGAATTGCAAATGAACACACCTACGAGACACCAGCACCACTTTTTAAGTGACTGAAATCCAGAACACTGACAATATCAGTTTCTGGCTGGGATGCAGAGCGACGGGCACTCCCCGTCATTGCCGGTGAGGGTGCAAAATGGTGCGGCTGCCGTGGAAGACAGGTGTGAAGTTTCTTACACAGCTACACAGAGGCTTCTCGGCAGCTCCGGCAATTGTGTTCCGTGGCATTTAAACAGAGGGGTTGAAGGCTGATGTCCACATAAGAACCTGAACGTGGACGTTTACCGTAGCTTCATTCATAATTGCCAATGCTTGGAAGCAACAAGATGTCTTTTGATAGGTGAGTGGTTAAACAAATAGTGCTGCATGAAGATGGTGGAATATTGTTCAGGGATAAAAAGAGATAAGGTAACAAGCCATGAGAAGACATGAGATGGAGTCTCACTGTGTCACCCAGGCTAGAGTGAGGTGGCGTGATCTTGGCCCACTGCAACTTCCGCCTCCCAGGTTCAAGCGATTCTCCTGCCTCAGCCTCCCAAGTAGCTAGCTGGGATTACAGGTGCCCGACAGGCTGCAGGGACAGTCCTTATCCTCAACCTCCCAGCTGGAAGGTTTTTTGCAGATCTGGCTGCTCCAGTGGTCACCGGTACCCACCCTCAGAGCCCTTTGTTGAGGGCTGGGCAGGGCGGGTGGACGGGGAGGAGAAGGAAGGAATGAGCACCATGGGGGCATGAGAGTTTATTGTCTCCAAGAGGGTGAAGGTCGTGGTCCCAATGCACAGGTGGGGGCACCCACAGTGTTATCCTTCCTGGGTTTCCCTTGGGCAGAGGGGGCTGGAAATGGGAAGGCAGAGTGGGAGCCCCAGCTGTGGCCGCACCCAGGTTCTTCTGCCCCTCGAAGGGTCCTGGACAGCATTCAGGGCAAGGGGCCTCATGCAAGGGGCCATCGCCCACCAGAGACACTGTCTTTCCCACCACCAACACCAGAGGCACCGTCCTTCCCCATCACCCAACACCGGAGGCACCATCCTTCCCCATTGCCCATCAGAGGCACCATCCTTCCCATCACCCACACTGGAGGCACCATTCTTCCCGTCACCCACACCGGAGGTACCATCCTTCCCATCACCCACACCGGAGGCACCGTCCTTCCCATCACCCACACCAGAGGCACCGTCCTTCCCATCACCCACACCAGAGGCACCGTCCTTCCCATCACCCACACCAGAGGCACCGTCCTTCCCATCACCCACATCAGAGGCACCGTCCTTCCCATCACCCACATCAGAGGCACTGTCCTTCCCCAGGAGGAGCAGTTGCTGAATCCTTGGGGTTCTCCAGCAAAGGGGCCCCCGGTGGGGAGGAGTGAGGTGGCTAGATCCGGGATGGAGGCAATGGCACCCTCCCCACCACCTCAGAGAGGGAGGGTCCCCCCCCAGTGTCCTGGAAGGGGCGGAGGCAGGATGGCAGTTGGAGGCAGGAGACGGGATGGGCCAGCAGGGCCAGGAGGGGGCGTAAAGGGAGGGCCCTCACAACAGGGCCCTGAGGAGGCTGAGGCCCACCTGGAGCAGGAGCCCCCCTCGCAGGGCCCAGCGCCCCTCCTGTGGGGTCAGTGCCCTGTTGCAGAGAGCCCAGGAACAGCAGCGCCTGGTGATCACGCCTTGCACCATGGGGGCCGGCGACCATTCGAACTTCATGTTGTCGTTGGGACATCTGGGAGCACAGCGTTTGCTGAGCAGGACGCGTACACTCCATTCTGCAGAAAAGAGGAGAGGCAGGTGGCCCCAGAGCCCCAGCAAGGAGGTATCCACAGTTATGCGGAAAGTGCAAGGATGCTTTCCAAAGGAGCAGCCGGGACCAGAAAGAGCTAGAGCACGTAACCTGGCCCTGCGAGGACAGCCAAGAGACCACCTTCTCCTGTCCTTTACTGGGTGAGGCGCTGCAGAGCTGGGGATCCTGGCTGCCCAGGCCACCTCCGCCCGCGGCACAGCAAATACAGACTCCAGGGCAACTGGCTGTAAGGGGCCTTCTCCCGAAGCCATGCACAGCCTGGACCACCCCTGCCGGCCCCGGGGCATGTGCGTCGTCGGGAGATGGGGTGACTCAGAGCAGTGGAAAGGGGCTGCCCATCACGGAGAACCTGCTGGGCTGGGTGCCCAGCCCTGGGCTCGTTTCTCTGTACTGCTCACTTAAAGACATGGCAGAGACTTTCTGACGGACGTGTCTGTCAACAACCATGGAACCCCTGAAGAGATGCACAGCATCAAAACCCAAACTGTTGAGAAAAGAGCTTGGGTGGAATCAATCGCCCTTATGTGTCATAGAGTGTTACGGTGTGTTGTGTTGCATTCTATTTTATTATATTATGTTGTATTATGTAGCATTATATTACATCGTATTATATTAAGTTGCAATATACACGTTATATTCATTATGTTGTGTTATACTATATGACATTGTCATACACTGTATCGATTCCAGTGCAGCCTGCCTGATGCTGGGTTGTATGGCAGGTGTACTGTGCTGTGCCAGGAAGGGCAGATAACCCATCGCCTCGAACAGCTGCCCATCCCCACCCGTGTGTTCCTGCTGTCTTTGTAAATTCAGTGACATCAGAGCCTTTGTCCTGCTGACAGTTCCTAGTGACACTTCAAATGGAGGAGAAAAAAGTCAAAATTCACACTCTGGGATGCTCGCCCGAGCCCAGCGCGGGAGAGACAGCAGGAGGCACTTTCGGACCCACAGGGCCCCAGGCCCTGGAGCGCCGAGGACTCATAGCTAAGTCGCTGAGAGGCGGGGGCACCGGCCCTTCCCCGGCACCTGGCACCTGCCCTCTGCCCGGGGGGGACTCACTAAAAGAGACGACCACCTCGTTGGAGATGCAGACTTGGTCCAGCGGGCTGCACCAGGTGGGCGGGCACTCCGTCCAGCTGCTGACCTTGAAGCACTGGTAGCAGCTCAGGTTGCGAGCTGTGGGCAGCAAGCGGGGCGCTGTGGACCAGCGTCCGCAGCTCCAGCCCCGACGCCCCCAGCCCAGCCCGGGCCGCGCCTTACCTGGCGTCGTGGCGCAGCCAGCAGACGCCACAGCCAGCGGGAGGGTGCACAGGGTTAGGACGAGCCTCTCCATGACGCCAGAAGGCTCAGCCTGAGTGGGGTGAGGTGGGTGTTGCGGGAGGCTTCACCCAGAGAGCCCCCTCCCCAGCTTCCTGCTCCCGGACGGGGCTTTACTCAGGGCGCACCCCCCATCCCACACTAGCCTCCTGCGCTCCCGGACGCGGCTTCACCCAGGACGTCCCCCACCTCCAGCCTCCTGCGCTCCTGGACTGGGCTTCACCGAGGGCAACCCCCACCCCCAGGCTCCTGCTCCCGACGCTCGCTCTCCTCCCTTCCCCGCATTCCCTCTCCCTGGGCCCTCTGCCTTTGGTCCCCCTTCCAATCTCTCTTTCTAAACCCTCGGAGCCCGTTCTCGCCCGACCCTCATCCCAGCCCCCGGCCCACAGTCCGGACCCCTCTCCCAGCACCTTCTCTCCTGCCGGGCTGCAGGGATCTGCGTCCTGGAGGAGGAGTCAGCCCTGGGACCGAGGGGGCGGGACCGGCCAGCCCCTCCTCGGGGCTCTTGTACTGGGGCGGCTCCGGGGTCCCCGAGGGCCTCAGCGTCTGCCTGCAGCGGCCTCCTGCGGAAAATAGCCCGAGGCCGGGGAGGAGGGGGTCAACCCCAATCACGGATCCCAGCCTCCGCGCCTTGGGGAACGTGGGGCCAGATTTGGTTCCTGACTCAGGGACCCACGGAGGCTGAAGGAGACCCAGAGGGCCCTGAGCACCTCAAAGGGCGCGGAGGGCGGGACGACCCTTTCCCTGGGGTGGGGCAGGAGTGGTCTGGATTTGGAAGCAGACGGGGGAGGGAAGAGGCTTCAAAGCGGAGGAGGAGGGAGAGGGAGGAGGCGGAGTAGGGACCCTGGGGCGCAGGTGAGGTTTGGACAACCTGAGATGGAACAGGAGCCGGCCAGGCAGATCCAGGAAGGAGCATAGTTAAGGGCAAATGAGGTTGGCGGGGATGGTTAGGCCACAGGCACATAATCTTCGTTCTTTCTAGAGTGCTTGGAGCGCTTTCCCCTGGCAGGGGTGGCCTGGGAGGAGGGGAGAAGGGAGGAGAAGGGCAGGCGCCTCCAGGGGCCCCTCAGGCTGGCTCAGTCGCCCAGAGGAAAGCAGGGCGTGCTCCCATAGCCTTACAGGAGCCTGGAGCTGCCGCAGGGGTTGGGAGCTGCAGCTCCAGGACTCCTGCCAAATTTCTGGGACCTGCAGGGGGCTGAGTCCCGGCCTTTGAAGACTGGTGCCCTGGAAAAACGGCTCCTGTGCAGGCTGCCTCCCAGCTCTGTCCTCCCACACTTCGTCCTCCCACAGGTGAGGCTGGGGCCCAGCCGGGTCTGTCGAGTGCTAAAGCGTCCCTGGGCCCGTTGGAGGCTGTGGTTCCAATTTCTTTTGCAGCATCTGCTCGGCCCCATGTAGGTCCTGGATGCAGAGTGTGAGGCCGCCCCCGTCATAGCATAGACCTGCGCCCTCCTCACTAGACTCATCTGCCTCCTACACTGAGTCTTCCCTTGGTCCTATTCTTTATTCTGTTTTTTCCCCGGGAGCCAAGGGAGTTGACCCGTGTTCTCACTGGGCCGCTGGAACCCAACAGCATGGACATCCCGGTTGGTGGGCACCCAGCTCTCCCCTCCGGAGGTACTGTCACACCCTCTCCCGCCTCACCGGGGGCACAGGGCCCTGCCGGACCCAGGTGATGTCAGGAAATGCTGTCCTCAGTCTGGAGGACCACCGAGCCACTTTCCTCCTCGGAGCCCTTCCCTCCAGCCCAGGTGGTCACACAGCTTTCACCCCGTGTCAGGTTTGCTCTTTTCTGCTTCCTGCCTTCATTTCCTGAATGACATCCTTTTGAGCATGTATGATGACAAGCAGGGCTGGACCCTGGGTCTGCAGCAGTGAACCGGCCCAGTCACCTGCCCTCAGGGGTCTTGCAGGAGGTAGGTCTCGGAAAGAAGAAAGGGGTAACTGCTACCCATAAGGTGGTTGCGAAGGGCTGCCCCTGGCCCCAGCGTGACTGCTGCCCACCACCTCCAGGGCCTCCGCATCCTCTCCCGCACTGCAGACCAGCAAGCCCCTCCCCTGCTGTGGCCTTTCCAGTAACGGCTGCTGGGAGAGAAAGTGCCAGTCGGAGAGTGAGTGTGCAGCCAGGTGGGGCCATTTCCCCTGCGTCCACATAGTGGCCCACCCAGCAGGACTGTCCCGTTCCTGTTTCCCCTGGTGCATGCTCTAGGGATGCCCCAGACGGGCCCTGCCCTCTGACCCCTGCCTGTCCGGGCTCAGCGTCCTCTGCTCCCTTTGTCCTCTGATGCTCCAGCCCTTTCTGCCGCCCAGCCTGTGTGTGGATCAGGGCTGTTTTGGGGGTGGGCTTAGAGGGCACGGGATGGAAGTTGTTTGGAGGGGAGGGGCCATATGCAATTTGTTTATCATGTGCATTTTTTCATTTGCCATTCTCACTGTGATTGATTTGAATGAATTTGGCACTGTGAAATCTGCAGAGTCAAAAATCAAAAAGAAAAATCAAAAGAACATCGGCATTGGAGGCACATGCAATAAAGGAGTCCAGGTGGTAGTTGGAGGTTGGAGGCTGGAAGGAACACACAGGTCTCAAAGGAAGTGGCTGAGGGATCTGCAGAGACTCATCTGAGCCTGTGGCTGATGACAGGGTGTTGGGGCAGCCACGGCCGAGAGGGCCGTGCTCAGAGCCACACAGCTTTCAGTGCTCACGAGAAGGGACTGGCCCTCCCCAGGGCTGACCAAGTTCCTCAGTACTGCATCCAGCTGTGCTCCTGGCCTCATTTCTTCTCTCCTTCATGAATTAACTCCCAGACACAGCAGCCCCTGGAGGTGGTGGGGACTAACCAGGGACGGGAAAGGGTCAGTCAGCCTGTGGTCAGCAGGGTGGGCGGGTGCAGGCCTGGTGTTCCCAGGATACTTTGCTGGGTCATGCAGTTATCCCCATCACGTATCACTCCAGCTCCCTGGCGGGCACAGCCTGTGGCTGTTCCTGGAGGCACCCCTGGAATGAGTACAGTTCATGGACAGGCTTCAAAACAGCCCAGAGCAAAGATTTGGGTCTGAGGGCGGGGGCATGGCTCTGCGGTCTTCGCCTCCACGGTTCCCTGACTTGGTCCTGCAGTTGCCCAGGAGAGGCAAGGCCACCTCCTTGTTAAGGGCTTGCTTGTTCCTGGTGGTCTCTGTCAGGAGCCCCCACCCCGCTGGCCCCAGACTCCAACACCTGTCCAGGTGTGTGAGCCAGTGTACATCTGGCAGCAGAGAGGCCTGTACGAGCACAGCCCACAGGCCCCAGTGACGTTTGTCAAGTGTTTATTCTATCAACATTCTTCATTTCTGGCCTGATTTCAATCCTAGGAGGTGGGTACAATAAGTCCAATTCTAAAAATAATAAAATGGAACAGAGACCTGAGGAGTTGGCTTCATGATGGGGGATCAATGTCCCAATTTTAGCACCAAAGTCCTGCGACCTGGGAAGCCCTCGGTGCTGGGCAAACCAGGATGGTTGTTGCCCTGATTCAGGATCACCCAGGTAATAGGTAGAGGGCTGAATTCAAGCCCGGCTCAGCCGCACGGAGCCTCGGCCTGCACTCTGCACTGCTTCTGAGCGGTGCTGGGAGCAGCGCTGTCCAAGGAGCCCGGGTCATAAAACCCAGCTGGTGAATAGGAACCATGTTTGTATGTTCTAGAAGATGAAAGAATAGAATTGAATTGAATAATAAAGATCAGAGTACATTATGCACAATTAGGACACATATATTTTAATGAAGAAAGTAATTTAAATAAAAATGTGTTTTATTTATGCTTATATATTTTTGCTTGTGTATATATGTGTGTATATAATGTTTTAGATATACAAATATATGTGTTATAAGTATGTTTGGTATTTTATTTCGTATTTTATATTTATGTTTTATGTTGTAAATATGTTTATCGGTTATAAATCTATGTGAATATGTTACGTAAATGTTATGTGTGTCAGTGTTTTGGGTGTGGATATATTTATTAACTTTTTAAAGTGTAGATCTCAATCAGGAAAATGTGCAAGCTTCCTGTTTAGATGAAGTGGATGACCTTCCTTCCTGCCCTTATTGTATTCACTGTCAGAGAGCTGGGTGCCAGCAAGCTGCTGTGTGGGTATGTGCGCCAACCCCGGCGTAGGCACGGACGGAAACACACTGTGGAATTTTTCCAGTGAAGGGGATCTTGGCGTGATGTCCAGAGGCCTCCCCGAGTGGTGTCCTGAATGAGTCCCACAGTCTCCATCCCTGTGCTCTTGCTATGGACTGCCAGGCTGAATTGTTGACACTGAAGATCATCGTGCTCCCGCTACACTTATACCTCTGACCCTTTTTCCCTCTCACCTTGGCTGTTGGGAAGCTCAGATCGTAACCATTTGCCCCAGGCACACGTGTAGGGCCTGGCCAGTTTCTTGCTCGCCCCTCCTGGCTCTGCCCAGGTCATAACTTGCTTGCCTTTCTCCTCCCCTTGCCATGTGGAACCCTGGTTTGAGTGTCTGATTCTTAGGGCTGTGGAGCTTTAGCCCTTTTGACTCTACATAGTTTTGGTGACTTGGCTTCTTTCACACTCCAGTTCCTGGCCCTGCCTTGGGGGCTCCATGCACAGCTCTCCCTGGGAACAGGTCTTCTCCTTGCCCTGTCTTAATCTGGGGATAGGTGTCTGGGCGTCCCCAGCGAGACCCCTCTCTGCTGCTGACAGGGCTCCCAGGAGGAACAACAGTGGCACCCCAGAGAGGTGTGGGGGTGCTAAGAGAATTGGGTCAGCAGTGGGGGCCTCACACTCTGGCCCCTCACTCCCTGTGCCTGAGCAATTCATCAGGTGCTGTCTTTCTTAGACGGACAGCTGTGTGCAATTGTGTTCTGTTTCTGACTTTGGGTTTAGTGACATCAGTAAGCCTGAATGGTCTCCCCGGTGCACAATCCTTCTGGTTCACAAAATCAGTCAAACACACAGGCACCAGGGAGCTCTTGAACCAGAGAGTCCGGTACTTTCATTTTGTCCTAAAGGTACAGATTGTTATCATTTTCATTTTTTTTCAAGGCAACAGTGAGCAAGGATTTTGTTATCATTTTCAAACTGACACATTTACCACACTGACAATATTCTCTGACCCAGCACAGACGTTCATAACAAAAGCATCAGTGACATAGTTACACATGTTAAAACATTGAAAACCACTATTCTAATAAACCACAGTTAAAGAAGAAGTCATATTGGAAATTAAAATACCTAGAAATGATTAAAACTAAGATACTACTATCAAAACTATTGGGCTGCAGTAAAAGCTGTACCTGAGAAAAATCTAACCCTATATATTTGCATTGGGAAATAAGAAAGGTTAAATTCTTTTTTTCTTTGAGATTGAGTCTTGTTCTGTTGCCCAGGCTGGAGTGCAGTGACGTGATCTTGGCTCACTGCAACTTCTGTCTCCCGGGCTCAAGTGATTCTCCTGTCTCAGCTTCCTAAGTAGCTGGGAGTACAGTTGTGCACCACCACGCCTGGCTACTTTTTGTATTTTTAGTAGAGACGGGGTTTCATCATGTTGCCCAGGCTCGTCTTGAACCCCTGACCTCAGATGATCCACCCTCCTCGGCCTCCCAAGGTGCTGGGATTACAGGCGTGAGCCACCGTGCCTGGCCTTATTTTTGAATTAATAATGTTCTCAGCCATTAGAGTGATATTTGGTGAGTAGGAGGGAGACTTTTTTCTTAGGTGATCAATGCTGGAGTTATTAGGGGGAAACTGGTGGGAAGCCTGAAGTTAGCAAGCTCAGGGTCCAACCTCCACATTTCAAAACTCAACTGAAGAAAAGAGACAGGACTGAGAATGCCTATTAACAAAACAGAAAAATCAGCACAGCCATGGCTGTGTGTTTGAAGGAACAAAAATTAGACAAATATCTGGCAAGACTGAATAAGGAAAAAAGATCCACAGATGAATAATGTAAATGAAAAAAATGAGTCATAATAACAAATAACTCCCAGATTTTGTAATGCAAAAAGACAAGATTTTCACGTCCAGTTAGCATGAGGAAAGAGTGTGAAGCCAACCTTTCTATTTCAACAATGAGAAAAAATGGAATTATGTACAAAAATTATCATTTCTTTCAAATGCATTGGAAAATGGTGGGTGCAAATCTGAAGGAACTGCCAGTCTTGGGGGGCCCCTTTCTCGCAGTGGAGCTGAATGGTGCTGAGGGCGGGTTAGTCATCGGCAGAGCTCTACCTGCGGGGAGAGACTGATGTTTCTTGGTTCTTTTGCATATAATTTCTAGCACACTACCAAAAATTATAAGAATTACAGGAGAGTGTGATTTTCAACCAAGAGATAAGCTATTCAATAGAAGCAGACGCACAGATAACCCAGATGAAAGAATTAGCAGACAAATGCTTTACAATATTCTTGTAAATACATGAAATGAGATGGAGGAAAGGATGAACAAAATGGATGAAAAGATGGAGAATTTCAACAGAGAGATGAAAGCTATGAAAATAAGTGCTCATTATTTGTTATTAAAAATAAAATAAATAATAAAAATAAGTGTTTATTATATTAACCAATTAATATAATACCTGAAATTAAGAACTCATTGGATGGGCTTAAGAGCAGACTAAACATATAGTAGCAAAAAGGATTGATGAAGTTTCAGAAAGGTCCATAGAAATTATCCAAAATAAAGCACAGACAAAAGATAGAATTAAAAGTACACAAACACACACACCCACATACACACATGCACAGAGAGAGACAGAGACAGAGAGGAGAGGGCCATATGGTACTGATCCAACTGTCTAACATGTGTATTGGAATCCCAGGAGAAGGGTGAGAATGGGATAGGAGCAATATTATTTTGATGGATAATAGCCAATTTTCCAAAATTGGTAAGAGACATTAACCCAAGATTCAATAGGCTTATCAAACTCCATGAAGTATAAAACTGGAGAAAACCATATTAAGTCACATCATAATCAAACTGCTGAAACTAAAGGAAAAGAGAAAAATGTTAGCTGCAGCCAGGAGAAAAAAACACCTTAGCACTAGAGAACCCCGGGGACGACGGCTGTCTCCTCAAACAGGGACCCCGGGGACGACGGCTGTCTCCTCAAACAGGGACCCCGGGGACGACGGCTGTCTCCTCAAACAGGGACCACCAGGATGATGGCTGTCTCCTCAAACAGGAACCCCGGGGACGATGGCTGTCTCCTCAAACAGGGACCCCGGGGACGACGGCTGTCTCCTCAAACAGGGACCCCGGGGACCACGGCTGTCTCCTCAAACAGGGACCCCGGGGACGACGGCTGTCTCCTTACACAGGAGCCCCAGGGATGACGGCTGTCTCCTCAAACAGGGACCACGAGGACGACGGCTGTCTTCTCAAACAGGAACCCCGGGGATGACGGCTGTCTCCTCAAACAGGGACCCCAGGGACGACGGTTGTCTCCTCAAACAGGGACCACGAGGACGACGGCTGTCTCCTCAAACAGGAACCCCGGGGACGACGGCTGTCTCCTCAAACAGGGACCCCGAGGACGACGGCTGTCTCCTCAAACAGGGACCCCAGGGACGACGGCTGTCTCCTCAAACAGGGACCCTGGGGACGACGGCTGTCTCCTCAAACAGGGACCCCAGAGACGACGGCTCTCTCCTCAAACAGGGACCACGGGGACGACGGCTGTCTTCTCAAAAAGGAGCCCCGGGGACGACGGCTGTCTCCTCAAACAGGAGCCCCGGGGACGACGGCTGTCTCCTCAAACAGGGACCCCGAGGACGATGGCTGTCTTCTCAAACAGGAATGCTGAGGACGACGGCTGTCTTCTCAAACAGGAATCCCGAGGACGACGGCTGTCTCCTCAAACAGGAACCCCGAGGACGACGGCTGTCTCCTCAAACAGGAACCCCGGGGACGACGGCTGTCTCCTCAAACAGGAACCCCGGGGACGACGGCTGTCTCCTCAAACAGGGACCCCGGGGACGACGGCTGTCTCCTCAAACAGGAACCCCGGGGACGACAGCTGTCTCCTCAAACAGGGACCCCAAGAATGACGGCTGTCTTCTCAAACAGGGACCCCGGGGACGACGGCTGTCTCCTCAAACAGGAACCCCGGGGACGACAGCTGTCTCCTCAAACAGGGACCCCAAGAATGACGGCTGTCTTCTCAAACAGGGACCCCGGGGACGACGGCTGTCTCCTCAAACAGGGACCCCAAGGATAACGGCTGTCTCCTCAAACAGGGACCCCGAGAATGACGGCTGTCTTCTCAAACAGGGACCCCGAGGACGACGGCTGTCTCCTCAAACAGGGACCCCGAGGACGACGGCTGTCTTCTCAAACAGGAATCCCGAGGACGACGGCTGTCTCCTCAAACAGGAATCCCGAGGACGACGGCTGTCTCCTCAAACAGGAATCCCAAGGACGACGGCTGTCTCCTCAAACAGGGACCCCGAGGACAACGGCTGTCTCCTCAAACAGGAACCCCGGGGACGACGGCTGTCTTCTCAAACAGGAATCCCGGGGACGACGGCTGTCTCCTCAAACAGGGACCCCGGGGACGACGGCTGTCTCCTCAAACAGGGACCCCGGGGACGACGGCTGTCTCCTCAAACAGGAACCCCGGGGACGACGGCTGTCTCCTCAAACAGGAACCCCGGGGACGACGGCTGTCTCCTCAAACAGGGACCCCGGGGACAACGGCTGTCTCCTCAAACAGGAACCCCGGGGACGACGGCTGTCTCCTCAAACAGGAATCCCGGGGACGACGGCTGTCTTCTGAAACAGGAATCCCGGGGACGACGGCTGTCTCCTCAAACAGGAACCCCGGGGACGACGGCTGTCTCCTCAGACAGGGACCACGAGGACGACGGCTGTTTCGTTAAACAGGGACCCCGAGGACGATGGCTGTCTCCTCAGAGACCCCGAGGATGACGGCTGTTTCGTCAAACAGGAACCCCGAGGACAATGGCTGTCTCCTCAAACAGGGACCCCGAGGATGATGGCTGTCTCCTCAAACAGGAATCCCGAGGACGACGGCTGTCTCCTCAAACAGGAATCCCGAGGAGGATGGCTGTCTCCTCAAACAGGAACCCCGGGGACGACGGCTGTTTCGTCAAACAGGAACCCCGGGGACGACGGCTGTCTCCTCAAACAGGGACCCCAAGAATGACGGCTGTCTTCTCAAACAGGGACCCCGGGTACGACGGCTGACTCCTCAAACAGGGACCCCGGGTACAACGGCTGTCTCCTCAAACAGGGACCCCGAGGACGACGGCTGTCTCCTCAAACAGGGGCCACGAGGACGACAGCTGTCTTCTCAAACAGGAATCCCAAGGGCGACGGCTGTCTCCTCAAACAGGAATCCCGAGGACGACGGCTGTCTCCTCAAACAGGGACCCCGAGGACGATGGCTGTCTCCTCAAACAGGGACCCCGGGGACGATGGCTGTCTCCTCAAACAGGAACCCCAGGGACGACGGCTGTCTTGTCAAACAGGGACCCCGGGGATGACGGCTGTCTCCTCAAACAGGGACCCCGAGGATGACGGCTGTCTTCTCAAACAGGAATCCCGAGGACGACGGCTGTCTTCTCAAACAGGAATCCCGAGGACGACGGCTGTCTTCTCAAACAGGAACCCCGGGGACGACAGCTGTCTTCTCAAACCGGAATCCCGGGGACGACGGCTGTCTCCTCAAACAGGGACCCCGGGGACGACGGCTGTCTCCTCAAACAGGGACCCCGGGGACGACGGCTGTCTCCTCAAACAGGGACCCCGGGGACGACGGCTGTCTCCTCAAACAGGGACCCCAGGGACGACGGCTGTCTCCTCAAACAGGAACCCCGGGGACGACGGCTGTCTTCTCAAACAGGAATCCCGAGGACGACGGCTGTCTCTTCAAACAGGGACCACGAGGACGACGGGTGTCTTCTCAAACAGGAGCCCCGGGGACGATGGCTGTCTCCTCAAACAGGAACCCAGAGGATGACGGCTGTCTCCTCAAACAGGGACCCCGGGGACGACGGCTGTCTCCTGAAACAGGGACCCCGAGGACGACGGCTGTCTCCTCAAACAGGAGCCCCGGGGACGACGGCTGTCTCCTCAAACAGGAGCCCCGGGGACGACGGCTGTCTCCTCAAACAGGGACCACGAGGACGACGGCTGTCTCCTCAAACAGGAGCCCCGGGGACGACGGCTGTCTCCTCAAACAGGAGCCCCGGGGACGACGGCTGTCTCCTCAAACAGGAGCCCCGGGGACGACGGCTGTCTCCTCAAACAGGAGCCCCGGGGATGACGGCTGTCTCCTCAAACAGGAGCCCCGGGGACGACGGTTGTCTCCTCAAACAGGGACCCCGAGGACGACGGCTGTCTCCTCAAACAGGGACCACGAGGACGACGGCTGTCTTCTCAAACAGGAGCCCCAGGGACGACGGCTGTCTCCTCAAACAGGAACCCTGGGGATGACGGCTGTCTCCTCAAACAGGAGCCCCGGGGACGATGGCTGTCTCCTGAAACAGGGACCCCGGGGACGATGACTGTCTCCTGAAACAGGGACCCCGGGGACGACGGCTGTCTCCTCAAACAGGGACCCCGAGGATGACGGCTGTCTTCTCAAACAGGAATCCCGAGGACGACGGCTGTCTTCTCAAACAGGGACCCCAAGAATGATGGCTGTCTTCTCAAACAGGGACCCCGGGGACGAAGGCTGTCTCCTCAAACAGGGACCCCGAGGACGACGGCTGTCTCCTCAAACAGGGACCCCGAGGACGACGGCTGTGTTCTCAAACAGGGACCTCGGGGACGACGGCTGTCTCCTCAAACAGGGACCCCGCGGATGACGGCTGTCTCCTCAAACAGGGAACCCGGGGATGACGGCTGTCTCCTCAAACAGGAACCCCGAGGATGACGGCTGTCTCCTCAAACAGGAACCCCGGGGACGACAGCTGTCTCCTCAAACAGGGACCCCTGGGACGATGGCTCTCTCCTCAAACAGGAACCCCGGGGACGACAGCTGTCTCCTCAAACAGGGACCCCAAGAATGACGGCTGTCTTCTCAAACAGGGACCCTGGGGACGACGGCTGTCTCCTCAAACAGGACCCCGAGGATCACGGCTGTCTCCTCATACAGGGACCCCAAGAATGACGGCTGTCTTCTCCAACAGGGACCCCAGGGACGACGGCTGTCTCCTCAAACAGGGACCCCGCGGATGACGGCTGTCTCCTCAAACAGGGACCCCGGGGATGACGGCTGTCTCCTCAAACAGGAACCCCGAGGATGACGGCTGTCTCCTCAAACAGGAACCCCGGGGACGACAGCTGTCTCCTCAAACAGGGACCCCTGGGACGATGGCTCTCTCCTCAAACAGGAACCCCGGGGACGACAGCTGTCTCCTCAAACAGGGACCCCAAGAATGACGGCTGTCTTCCCAAACAGGGACCCTGGGGACGACGGCTGTCTCCTCAAACAGGACCCCGAGGATCACGGCTGTCTCCTCATACAGGGACCCCAAGAATGACGGCTGTCTCCTCAAACAGGGACCCCGGGGACGACGGCTGTCTCCTCAAACAGGGACCCCAGGGACGACGGCTGTCTCCTCAAACAGGAACCCCGGGGACGACGGCTGTCTTCTCAAACAGGAATCCCGAGGACGACGGCTGTCTCTTCAAACAGGGACCACGAGGACGACGGGTGTCTTCTGAAACAGGAGCCCCGGGGACGATGGCTGTCTCCTCAAACAGGAACCCAGAGGATGACGGCTGTCTCCTCAAACAGGGACCCCGGGGACGACGGCTGTCTCCTGAAACAGGGACCCCGAGGACGACGGCTGTCTCCTCAAACAGGAGCCCCGGGGACGACGGCTGTCTCCTCAAACAGGAGCCCCGGGGACGACGGCTGTCTCCTCAAACAGGGACCCCGAGGACGA
This sequence comes from Homo sapiens, assembly GCF_000001405.40. Lineage (NCBI taxonomy): Eukaryota > Metazoa > Chordata > Mammalia > Primates > Hominidae > Homo > Homo sapiens. The sequence continues at coordinate 64,713 of NT_187573.1, read as the reverse complement.
CGGCTGTCTCCTCAAACAGGGACCACGAGGACGACGGCTGTCTTCTCAAACAGGAGCCCCAGGGACGACGGCTGTCTCCTCAAACAGGAACCCCGGGGATGACGGCTGTCTCCTCAAACAGGAGCCCCGGGGACGATGGCTGTCTCCTGAAACAGGGACCCCGGGGACGATGGCTGTCTCCTGAAACAGGGACCCCGGGGACGACGGCTGTCTCCTCAAACAGGGACCCCGAGGATGACGGCTGTCTTCTCAAACAGGAATCCCGAGGACGACGGCTGTCTTCTCAAACAGGGACCCCAAGAATGATGGCTGTCTTCTCAAACAGGGACCCCGGGGACGAAGGCTGTCTCCTCAAACAGGGACCCCGAGGACGACGGCTGTCTCCTCAAACAGGGACCCCGAGGACGACGGCTGTGTTCTCAAACAGGGACCTCGGGGATGACGGCTGTCTCCTCAAACAGGGACCCCGCGGATGACGGCTGTCTCCTCAAACAGGGACCCCGCGGATGACGGCTGTCTCCTCAAACAGGAACCCCGAGGATGACGGCTGTCTCCTCAAACAGGAACCCCGGGGACGACAGCTGTCTCCTCAAACAGGGACCCCTGGGACGATGGCTCTCTCCTCAAACAGGAACCCCGGGGACGACAGCTGTCTCCTCAAACAGGGACCCCAAGAATGACGGCTGTCTTCTCAAACAGGGACCCTGGGGACGACGGCTGTCTCCTCAAACAGGACCCCGAGGATCACGGCTGTCTCCTTATACAGGGACCCCAAGAATGACGGCTGTCTTCTCCAACAGGGACCCCAGGGACGACGGCTGTCTCCTCAAACAGGGACCCCGAGTACGACGGCTGTCTTCTCAAACAGGAATCCCGATGACGACGGCTGTCTTCTCAAACAGGAATCCCGAGGAGGACGGCTGTCTCCTCAAACAAGGACCCCGAGGACGACGGCTGTCTCCTCAAACAGGAACCCCGGGGACGACGGCTGTCTTCTCAAACAGGAATCCCGGGGACGACGGCTGTCTCCTCAAACAGGGACCCCGAGTACGACGGCTGTCTTCTCAAACAGGAATCCCGATGACGACGGCTGTCTCCTCAAACAGGAACCCCGCGGACGACGGCTGTCTCCTCAAACAGGGACCACGAGGACGACGGCTGTTTCGTCAAACAGGGACCCCGAGGACGATGGCTGTCTCCTCAAACAGGGACCCCGAGGACGACGGCTGTTTCGTCAGACAGGAACCCCGAGGACGATGGCTGTCTCCTCAAACAGGGACTCCGAGGATGATGGCTGTCTCCTCAAACAGGAATCCCGAGGACGATGGCTGTCTCCTCAAACAGGAATCCCGAGGACGACGGCTGTCTTCTCAAACAGGAATCCGGAGGACGACGGCTGTCTCCTCAAACAGGGACCCTGAGGACGACGGCTGTCTCCTCAAACAGGGACCCCGAGGACGACGGCTGTCTCCTCAAACAGGGACCCCGGGGACGACGGCTGTCTCCTCAAACAGGAACCCCGAGGATGACGGCTGTCTCCTCAAACAGGAATCCCGAGGACGTCGGCTGTCTGCTCAAACAGGGACCCCGGGGACGACGGCTGTCTCCTCAAACAGGAACCCCGGGGACGACGGCTGTCTCCTCAAACAGGAACCCCGAGGATGACGGCTGTCTCCTCAAACAGGAATCCCGAGGACGTCGGCTGTCTCCTCAAACAGGGACCCCGGGGACGACGGCTGTCTCCTCAAACAGGGACCCGAGGACGACGGCTGTCTCCTCAAACAGGGACCCCGGGGACGACGGCTGTCTCCTCAAACAGGGACCCCGGGGACGACGGCTGTCTCCTCAAACAGGAACCCCGGGGACGACGGCTGTCTTCTCAAACAGGGACCCCGAGGATGACGGCTGTCTCCTCAAACAGGGACCCGAGGACGATGGCTGTCTCCTCAAACAGGGACCACGAGGACGACGGCTGTCTCCTCAAACAGGGTCCCCGGGGACGACGGCTGTCTTCTCTAACAGGAGCCCCGGGGACGACGGCTGTCTCCTCAAACAGGGACCCGAGGACGACGGCTGTCTCCTCAAACAGGGACCCGAGGACGACGGCTGTCTTCTCAAGCAGGGACCCCGAGGACAATGGCTGTCTTCTCAAATAGGGACCCCGAGGATGATGGCTGTCTTCTCAAACAGGAACTTTGGAAGCCAGAAGCAAACACTGCTAAGAAATCAAATTACCAACTTGGATTCTGATACTATTTAAAATTTCCCTCACAAATGAGGGCAAAATAAAGGCATTTTTTCAGATAAATAATAGCTGAGAGGAATTGCTGCCAACTGCAATGTCAGGAGGAAGCATGGGGGTGCCACATTCTTTTCAGAGGGTAAATGTGAAGGGAGGTTGTGTTAGATGGTGTGTTGACTTTGGGGTGGAAGGTGCTGGATTTTCTGTTGTAACCTTGAACCCAGCACACCCTCTTCTGAAGAACCACGAGACTCCCTCCCGTGTGGCTCTGAATTAGAGTTTTCTAAGGGAAACTCCCGTAGATCTTGGAAGATTAAGCGGAGACCCTCCTTTCCTGGGGTCGCTGAAGCCGGGCGCGTGCGTAGACGGGAACCTCACAGACGTCCTCCTGCGAGCTTGTGGGGATGCTGTTTGCTGTAGAGAGTGACAGTGGGTGGAAGCTGTTTGGGGACCTTGGGGATTGCAGCGGCTTCCAGGAAAACTTATTTATTTATCAATAGACTCTATTTCTTTGAGCAGTTTTGGCTTTATAGAAAATCGAGAAGATAGTACAGAGGGTTCCCGTGTATCCTGCCCTGTCTCACATTTCTCCTATTAATCACACTTTGCATTCATGTGGTACAATGGATAAACCGATATTGATACGTGGTTATTAACACAAGTTTATAGCTTACACCAGGGCTCACTCTTTGTGTTGTATATTCTGCGGGTTTTGACAAATCCATAACATCATGCGTCCACCATTACAATGTTGCAGAATCGTTTCAGGGCCTTAAAAATCCCCTTGCTCCACCCACTCATCCCTCCCCTCTATCCCATAGCCCTCTGACCACTGCTGCCAGAAGAACGTTTGAGACCTCTTCTTGGGTGCTTTAAGCTGACATGTCCACCATCAAGTCTTCTCACTGTGGGGACAGCTTCCCCAACATCCATGCTGCCGGGTCTTCCGCCAGCCATGCCGCCTCCTGAGTCTATATTCCACGCCGGGTCTTCCGCCAGCCATGCCGCCTCCTGAGTCTGTATTCCATGCCGGGTCTTCCGCCAGCCATGCCGCCTCCTGAGTCTGTATTCCATGCCGGGTCTTCCGCCAGCCATGCCGCCTCCTGAGTCTGTATTCCATGCCGGGTCTTCCGCCAGCCATGCCGCCTCCTGAGTCTGTATTCCATGCCGGGTCTTCCGCCAGCCATGCCGCCTCCTGAGTCTATATTCCACCCTTTATTCCATCACATGTAAAAACAAGTGACCTTCCTCTCCCCACCACACGTAAAAACAAGTGACCTTCCTTTCCCCACCACACTCTGATCAATACGATCTCTTTCTGGGTGAAAGTGTGTGCTCTGGGAAGCCAGCCAGTCCTGTTAGAATACTGTGTAACATAAATACTAAGTCTGTTAATTTACAACATCAGTCCCTGTATAAAATAATAGGGTAGAGGAGGAGTGAGAGAAGAAATGAAATAATACATAAAAACATAGGGCAACTGCGGCCGGGCACGGTGGCTCACGCCTGTAATCCCAGCACTTTGGGAGGCCGAGGCGAGTGGATCACGAGGTCGGGAGTTCGAGAACAGCCTGGCCAACATGGTGAAACCCCATCTCTACTAAAGATAAAATAATTAGCTGGGTGTGGTGACATGCGCCTGTAATCCCAGCTACCCAGGAGGCTGGAGCAGGAGAATCACTTGAACCCAGGAGGCAGAGGTCGCAGTGAGCTGAGATCATGCCACTACACTCCAGCCTGGGCGACAGGGCGAGAATCCATCTCAAAAAAAAAAAAAAAAAAAAAAAAAAATATATATATATATCAGCTGGAGAAAGCCCATGGGCACTTGTTATGGCTGAACTGTGCCCCCCTCAAATTCACATGTTGAGCCCTCACTCCCGCTACCTCAGAATGTGATAGCATTTGAAAATAGGGTCCTTAAAGAGGTGATTACGGTAGAATGGGGTCATTAGGGTGGGCCCTAGTCCAGCATGCCTGGTGTCCTTATAAGAGGAGGTGAGGACACAGACACACACAGAGGGGCAACCGTGACAGAATGCAGGGAGCAGATGCCATCTGCATGCCAAGGAGAGGTGCCCCAGGGGGAGCCAGCCCTGCTGACACCTTGATCTCTGATCTCCAGCCTCCAGGACAGCGACAGAATCCATTCCTGTAGCTTAAGCCCCCAGTTGTGGTGTTCGTTATGGCGGCAGGAGCTGACTAGTGCACTGCCGGACCCTAATGCCTGGGGCTTCCCACGACGCTGGGTGCGGCCGCTGTAACATCCCCTGTCCCCTGTTCATTCACGTGTATTTTGTCCTCAGGAAAGGGCTCTTTACTGGTGGGCTTGTAGACGCCACAGGTTCAGGTGTTCTCTGCTTGCGGAGTCTGATTAACAAGAGCAGGGGCCGGTAGAAAGCAAGAGACTTCATTAGCCAAGACTAGTGAAAGGAAGTAGCTGGATTCTGACCCAGAGCAACCACTTCAAATGTGGGGGGAAAGGCAAAGGTTCACAAATGGAAAGCTGGATATGGAAGGCATGCAGGAATCGTGCTGAGCACAGCGCCTGTGTGTCCCGTCCTGGTGGCTGTCTTGGGTCCCAGTTCACCTGGAGCGCGGGCTGGCATCATCGCAACTATGGCCGGGCTGTTAATTACCCACTTTGAAGTCATCTCTGGAATTTTGCGGCTGGGTCCCCAGGCTTGGCCTGTCTGTCTCAAGATTAGCCTGCGGCACTTCTAAGAAGGCACATAATTAGATACTAATGGACAGAGAACTTTGAGAGAGTATTTACGGTGAGAAAGGGAGGGATGAGGAGTGTATTTCAAGGCTAAGGGAAAAGGCTTCTGCAGTTTGCTTCAAGGTTATATCTTGAAACCCAAGAGAAAGGAAACAAGTTTAAAAATGCATTTTGAAGACCAGCCACTCAGTTACAGGGTGACTAAGCCCTCACTGCGGAAGCGTCTGGACTTTCCGCAGCCTTGTCTCTTTCTAGGGGCTCTGGTTCCCATTAACTTTTTCCCTTGGATGTGGGAGACGTAAGAGATGAGAGAGAGCCTTGAGCCCAGAGACAATTCCCCACACCCCATGGGAGCGGGGCCAGCTCGCTTCCTTGGTGAGTTGAAAACAGCCCCAGCTAGGATGGCACAGCCCCTTGCTTTGCCTATTGACTCAGAGGCAGGAACTCAGAACCACCATGGGTCAACTTTCGTTTCCAACTCCCAGGACCCTTGGGGTCCCCCTGGGGCGGTGCGGGGAGCATTTCTCCCTGGGACATAAGATCTCAGACCCAGCCCAGCTCACTCCTGCAGTGACAGGATAAACAATTCTGGGAGTGGCACTGCAGAAGAGCTTGGATTTTATCTTAAGCATGGTAGTTTTCTAGGAAGTTATTAGTCAATCTGGAGCGAGATATTCTCAGAAAAAAAAAAGAAATTATTAGTCAAGTGCCCTTTTGTTGGCATAAATCACCATAACAACCACTATAAATATATAATTACTGTTCTCCAAGGGAACTGAGACAAGAAAATTTTGACTCTTGCCTGTTGTGATAGTCTGTTCTTTTGTTGTTGTAAAGAAATACCTAAGACTGGGCAAATTACAAAGAAGAGGTTTAATTGGCTCTTGGTATTGCAGGCTGTACAGGAAGCACAGTGCTGGCATCTGCTTGGCTTCTCGGGAGGCCTCAGGAAGTTTCCAATCAAAGCAGAAGGCAAAGGGGAAGCAGGTTGTGGGGAAAAGAAAGACAGATCAGATTGTTACTGTGTCTACATAGAAAAGGAAGACATAAGAAACTCCATTTTGATCTGTACTAGGAAAAATTGTTCTGCTTTGAGGTGCTGTTAATCTGTAACTTTAGCCCCAACTCTGTGCTCACAGAAACATATGCTCTATTGAATCAAGGTTTAAGGGATTTAGGGCTGTGCAGAATGTGCCTTGTTAACAATTTGTTGGCAGGCAGTATGCTTGGTAAAAGTCATCGCCATTCTCCATTCTCTATTAACCAGGGACACAATGCACTGCGGAAAGCCGCAGGGACCTCTGCCCAAGAAAGCCTGCGTATTGACCAAGGTTTCCCCCCACTGAGACAGCCTGAGATATGGCCTTGTGGGAAAGGAAAGACCTTACATCCCCCAGCCCAACACCCGTGAAGGGTCTGTGCTGAGGAGGAGTAGTGAAAGAGGGAGGCCTCTTTGCAGTTGAGATAAGAGGAAGGTTTCTGTCTCCGGCTTGTCCCTGGAAATGGAATGCCTCAGTGTAAAGCTGACCGTTAGTTCTATTCTGAGATGGGAGAAAACTGCCCTGTGGCTGGAGGCGAGATATGCTGGCAGCAATACTGCTCGGTTACTCTTTGCTACACTGAGATGTTTGTGTAAAGTGAAACATAAATCTAGCCTACGTGCACATCCAGGCACAGTACCTTCCCTTGAACTTATTCATGATACAGATTCCTTTGCTCACATGTTTCCCTGCTGACCTTCTCCCCACCATCACCCTGTTGTCCTGCCACACTCCCCTCGCCAAGATAGTAAAAATAGTGATCAATAAATCCTGAGGGAGCTCAGAGACCAGCGCCGATGCGGGTCCTCGCATGTTAAGCGCCGGTCTCCTGGGCCCACTGTTCTTTCTCTATACTTTGTCTCTGTGTCTTATTTCTTTTCTCAGTCTCTTATCTCCACCTGACGAGAAATACTCACAGGTGTGGAGGGGCAGGGGTCCCTGTGGCTTTCTGCAGTGCATTGTGTCCCTGGTTAATAGAGAATGGAGAATGGCAATGACTTTTACCAAGCACACTGCCTGCAAACATGTTAACAAGGCATACCCTGCACAGCCCTAAATCCATTAAACCTTGATTCAATACAGCACATGTTTCTGTGAGCACAGGGTTGGGGCTAAAGTTACAGATTAACAGCATCTCAAAGCAGAACAATTTTTCTTAGTAGAGATCAAAATGGAGTTTCTTATGTCTTCCTTTTCTACGTAGACACAGTAACAATCTGATCTCTCTTTCTTTTCCCCACAGCAGGTATCTCACATAACAAGAGTGGAGAAAGGGGTAGGAGGCACCTCACTCTTTTAAACAATTACATCTCACATGAACTCAGAGCGAGAACTCACTCACTATCATGAGGATGGCGCCAACACGTTCATGAGGGACCCACCCCAACGATCCAAACACCACCCACCAGGCCCACCTCCACCACTGGGGATTACACTTCCAGAGATTTCTGAAATGCCTTTGAGGCCTTTTCCCCATGATATTTGGAAGAGATAGACATCTAAACCATATCATTCCACCCTGGGCTTCCCGAATCTCATGTCCTTCTCACATTGCAAAGTAAGATCGTCCCTTCTCAGTAGTTCCCCAAAGTCTTAACTCGTCCCAGCATCAACACAACCAAAAGCCTCCAGTCCCAGGTTCAAAGTCTCATCTGGAAATGAGTTCTTTCCACCTATGAGCCTTTGAACTCAAAGACAAGTTATTTATTTCCAAGATACAATGGGGATGCAGGCATTGGGTAAACATTCCCATTCCAAAAGGGAGAAATTGGCCAAAAGAAAGGAACAACTGTCCTCTTTCCGGTCTATGCCTCCAAGATGACAAAGAAAAGAAGGAACAATGGTCATGCCAAAAAGGGCCACAGCCATGTGCAGCCGATTCGCTGCACGAATGGTGCCTGATGTGTGGCCAAGGACAAGGCCATTAAGAAATTCATCATTTGAGGCTGGGCGCAGTGGCTCACACCTGTAATCCCAGCACTTTGGGAGACCAAGGTGGGTGGATCACCTGAGGTCATGAGTTCCAGACCAGCCTGGCCAACATGGCAAAACCCCGTCTCTACTAAAAATACAAAAAATAGCCGGTGTGATGGTGGGTGCCTGTAATCCCAGCTACTCAGGAGGCATGAGAATCGCTTGAACCTGGGAGGCGGAGGTTGTAGTGAGCTGAGATTGCGCCACTGCACTCCAGCCTGAGTGATAGAGTGAGACCCCATCTCGAAAGAAAAGAAAAGAAAAGAAAAGAAAAGAAAAGAAAAGAAAAGAAAAGAAATTCATCATTGGAAACATCATGGAGGCCGCAGCAGTCAGGGACATTTCCGAAGCGAGTGTCTTCGATGCCTATGTGCTTCCCAAGCTGTATGTGAAGCTACTTTCTTGTGTAGGTTGTGCAATGCACAGCAAGGTAGTCAGGAATGGATCTCATGAAGCCCACAAGGACCGAACACCCCCGCCTCGATTTAGACCTGTGGGTGCTGCCCCACGACCGCCACCAAAGCCCACGTGAGGAACTGAGTCCTTAAAGACTGAAGACAGACTATTCTCGGGAGGAAAACAAAATAGATATCGTACAAGAAAGAAAGAAAGAAAGAAGGAAGGAAGGAAGGAAAGAAAGAAAGAAAGAAAGAAAGAGAGAAAAGAAAGAAAGAAAGAAAGAAAGAGAAAGAAAGAAAGAGAAAGAAAGGGACAACCGGCCACACACAAGTCCTGCGCCCGGCATGGGAGTCATTAAGTCTTCCGGCTCCAGTACAGGCAATACTGCGTCTCTCCCTACACAGTCATCTAGGGAGGAGAATTCTGTCAGATTGGAAGCACTTTGGTTATCCACCCATGACCAAAAAAAGAAAAATCTTCTATTGCAACACAGCTTGGCCAATGTTTGTTTGAGGGTCTGAGAAATGATGGCCAGTTTTTGGATCTTCGAAATTTCATACATTTATCCATTAAAACTGTTCTGCCAGAGGTCAGGCAAAGGGGGCAGAACACCTTGCATGCTGGCATGTATGTGGCTGCATAACGAGGATGCTGAAGAAAAGGGAAATGAGCTCATGGTGTGAGGCACTGCTAAGGTCTGTCCTGCTCCCCAGGGGAGGAAGAGAAAACCTCCCAAACCTGACAGTAAGTACCCTAAACCCCATAGTGTCTCCTGCCCCACCTCAGAAAAGAGAGGGAATGTCACCCCCAGAGTACAGGGAAGCAGCAGGGCTTCTGTCTTCCTCTCAGATTAGGCAAGGTACTAATTTTGGCTGAGGAGTCACAGAGTCCAGAGCAGGGCACTGCATAGTGTTCCCACGATGACAACATCCATCAGCAAGCAGCTCCAGCCCAAAATGATTGGGCCTGTAATCCCTGCTCCACCTCGGACTTGTTACATTGGAAGAACTCTAACCCTCCCTACAGACAGGGAGGATCCCTGAAAGATGGCTGAATTATTTACCACTATTTGCTGCACACCATCTCACCTGGGCAGACGAGCAGGCTCTCTGGGACATTATGCTCACTGCAGATGAGCTATGGCTGGTTTTAAATGAAGCAAAGGAAGAGGCACAGCACCTTCATGATGAAAATCCAGACGACACTCCAGATCCCGACTGGAGCAATTCCCCGCACGGACCCAAACTGGGATGTTGTAGAGGACATACATTCCACTGTAGCTAACCTGTATACTATGTCTGCTTCTCTTCCTGGAGATCATAAATGGTTTGCAGTACTGGATTTAAAAGAAGTTTTCTTTTGCATACCCACAGACACAGAAAGCCAATTGTTGGTCACCTTTGAATAGACAGGTCCTAAAGCCACACACAAGTTCAGTATCATTGGATTGTGCTCCCACCAGGATTTCAAAGCTCTCCAACTATATTTGGAGTAGCCTTGGCTCAAGATTTGAGGAGCTTGCAATCGAAAAACTGGGTATATTTACAATATGTGGATGATTTACTAATATCTAGCCCCTCTGAATGGGGCTATCAGAATAACACCATTAAAACCCTAAACCATCTAGCAACCTGTGGATATAAGGTTTCAAGTAAAAAGGCTCAAATATGCCAACAAACTGTGAAATATTTAGGTTTTCTCTATAGAAGGGAAACAGAGCTCTAACAGTGGAAGGGCGAAATGCAACTGCTTCCATCTCAGCCACCGCTACCTGAAGGCAGCTAAAAGGATTTCTAGGCATAACAGGGTTTTGTTAATCTGGATTCCTAACTATGAACTACTGGTAAAGCCGCTAGACAAACTGTTGAAGGGAGCTAACAATGGCCCCTTCGACTGTGAACAAAACATCAGCATGCATGTGAATAACTGAAACCTAAGTTAACCTCTGCCCTAGCCCTGGGGCTCCCAAATTCTCACAAGCCCTTTCATGAGCCCTGTACATGCCTGAGAGACTGGGTCTAACACTAGGGGTCCTTACACAGAAATTAGGAAGAATATTGCAGCCAGTGGCTTACTGGATGCTGTGGCCAAAGGCTGGCTCCTTGTGTAAGGGCAGTTGCTGCCACTGCCTGCTGTTAAAGGAAGCTGAAAAGTTGGTTTGGGGACAGCGCATCATGATCCATGAGCCTCACCAGGTGCAGGTGTTACTGGAACAGAAGGGAGGCTACTGGCTGACAGCGGGCAGGCTGAGCAAATGCCAGGCCACACTCCCAGATGACCCTGCAGTAAAAGTGCAGACTGCTGGAGTCTTAAACCCAGAAACTGTACTTCCCGCTACTGAAGAGCCTAAAGAACCTATGCACAATCACTTAGAAATTATTGACCAGGTGTTTTCCAGTTGCCCTAATTTAAAGGACACAGCCCTGCCACATGCAGACTGGACATTGTTTGTGGATGGGAGCAACCTGGTAACCAACAGAAAAAGAAATGCTGCATATGCCTTGGTAACTGTTTCCGAGGTAACAGAAGCGAGGACTTTACCAATAGGAACCTCTGCACAGGAGGCAGAACTGATTGCCCTTACGAGAGCCCTGCAGTTGTCCCAAGTACTCAGGGCACTCGGAGTAAATTGGGAGCTGCATTCAGCATGGAGACCGCAATCCTCTGGACTGATGGAAAGGAAAAATCAAACCGTTAAAACAGTTCTTGCCAAACGGTGTCAGGAAACTCAACTGAAATGGATTTAGGGCTTTGGCCTTGCACTGCTCTGGGTAAGAGTGACCCCCAGAAGTGGGATCAGGTTAAGTCCCTATGAAATTATATATGGGAGACCCTTTGCTGCTAGTCTGTCTCAGGTTACTGGGGTGCCTCTTAGTAGAAAGCCAACTATTAAACATACTCACGTGGGACAAATCCTTCATGTTTTGCATAAGCTTGCTCCAAACAGGAGCCTGTGAACTCGGCAGAACTTGTCCAGATTTTCCAGCCTGGTGATCAAGTGCTGCTAAAAAATGGAGGGGACAGGCCCAACTCAGCAGCTGTCTGTCCCCTTTGCCAATACCAAGCTGTCATAACAATGGAAAGTTTCAGAAAATCTTGACACGTGATTCATAAGCCCTTGTTCTTCTCCAAGGTTGCCCTGGCTATTCTAAAACTTTAGTATTTCCAGATAAATTACAGACTCAGCAGGCGAATTTTGACATCATCATCATCATCATCATCATCATCATTCCTGATACCCTTTTGATCAGGATTGCATCAAATCTGTACATCAATTTAAAAGTATTAACTCTTCCAACAGATGCCTTTGTATGTCCTTCCTTATATAGATCTCCATTTTTTTCTCATGTGTATTTTTATTTCTTTGAGATGGAGTCTCACTCTGTCACCCAGGCTGGAATGCAATGGTGCGATCTTGGCTCACTGTAACATCCGCCTCCCAGGTTCAATGATTTTCCTGCCTTAGCTTCCCGAGTAGCTGGGATTACAGGTGCCCACCATCACTCCCAGCTAATTTTTTGTGTATTTAGTACTCCTGGTCAACAGGATTTCGCCATGTTGACCAGGCTGGTCTTGAACTCCTGACCTCATGATCCACCCGCCTTGGCCTCCCAGAGTGCTGGGATTACAGGCGTGAGCTACCACGCCCGGCCTCTTGTGTATTTTCTTGGTTTTTCAGGGTAGAGGTCTTCTGCATCTCTTGTTAGGTTTCATTTTGAACATTCTATTGGTTTTGATGATAATATAAATGATACTGTCTTTAACATTTCACTTTACCTTGTCAGTCTATAGAATATATTTGATTTTTGTACCTTGACCTTCAGAACCCTGTTAAATTTATGTATATTTTGTTTGCAAATTATTTTGGTTTCTCCCCATATGCAAATATATCATTTGCAAATAATGACAGTTTCATTTCCTTTCTAATCATATCTTTTTCTTGCCATATTGCATTTATTTCTTTCCAACCTTTATATGTTTTATTTCTAATTATAGATTAATTGCCTGGCTGAGCATGGGACACATTTGATAAATGTTCTACATTCACTTAAAGAAATGTGGATTCTCCAGGTGTTTGGTACAGCATTCCATGTATGTTCAGTATGTGAATATTTATAATCTTGTATAAATTCATGTATTCTAATTTTTGTCCGCTTGTTCTATCAGTTACTTAAAGATTCGTATTGAAATACCTGGCCAGGTGTGGTGACTCACGCCTGTAATCCCAGCACTTTGAGAGGCCAAGGTGGGCACATCACCTGAGGTCAGGAGTTCAAGACCAGCCTTGACCAACATGGAGAAAACCCATCTCTACTAAATATACACAATTAGCTGGGCATGGTGGCACATGCCTGTGATCCCAGCTATTTGGGAGGCTGAGGCAGGAGAATTACTTGAACCCGGGAGGTGGAGTTTGCAGTGAGCCAAGATCGCACCATTGCACTCTAGTCTGGGCAACAGGAGCAAAACTCCCTCTCAAAAACAAACAAACAAAATAAAAAACACCAAACCAACCAACCAACCAACCAACCAAACAAACAAACCTAAGTGTGATTGTGGATTTGCCTTGATTTTCAGCTTTGTCCTATTGTGGTTAAATGTTTTGAAGCTATTTTATTAGATATGTACAAATGTAGGATTAAAATATTGTCGTGTTGTGTTGACCCTTTTATCACTATAAATATCCTTTTATTTCAGCTGCATTTCCTGCCTAATACTATCAGCATGATGTATCTTTTCCCATTCTTTTCATTCAGTGATTTTTTTTTTTTTTTTAAGAGACAGGGGTTTGCTATGTTGCCCAGGCTTGTCTTGAACTCTTGGGCTCAAGAGATCCTCTGACCTCAGCCCCTCAAAGTGCTGGGATTACAGACGTGAGCCACCATGTCTGGCCTGTGTCCTTCCTTTTAAAATGAGCACTGTGACCAGTTTATTGTTATCTTTATTTGGCCTAAAACTTTTTGTCTATAAATTAGAATAAGTTCATTTACATTTAATGTGAGAACTAATATAATTGGGTTAAAACCTTCCATTTCACTGTTTGCTTTTATTTTTCCCAGCTGTTTTTTATCTTTCTTTTCCTTTACGGTATTCTTTTGGATTTGTTAAATATTTCTCGTATTTTCTTTTGTTATATTCTTAGATATATTTTACGTGATTCATCAGTGGTTATTTTAGACATTACAATATGCATCTTTGACTTACTATAGTCCATCTTAAGTTGGTTACTGTCTCATTATAGGGTCCAGCCCTACAGGACCTGTGGGTTTTTCTCCTCGTGTGTGGAGATGAGAGATCGTAGAAATAAAGACACAAGACAAAGAGATAGAAGAAAAGACAGCTGGGCCCTGGGGACCACTACCACCAAGGCGTGGAGACCGGTAGTGACCCTGAATGCCTGGCCGTGCCGTTATTTATTGTATATAAGGCAAGAGGGCAGGGTAAGGAGTGTGAGTCATCTCCAATGATAGGTAAGGTCACACAAGTCATGTGTCCACCAGACAGGGGGCCCTTCCCTATTTGGTAGCCGAGGCGGAGAGAGAGAGGGGACAGCTTACGTCATTATTTCTTCTATGTAGTTCTGGAGAGATCAAAGACGTTAATACTTTCACTAATTCTGCTACTGCTATCTAGAAGGTGGAGCCAGGTGTACAGGGCGGAACATGAAAGTGGATCAGGAGCGTGACCACTGAAGCACAGCATCACAGGGAGACGTTTAGGCCTCCAGATAACTGCGGGCGGGCTTGACTGATGTCAGGCCCTCCACAAGAGGTGCTGGAGCAGAGTCTTCTCTAACTTCCTCAGGGAAAGGGAGACTCCCTTTCCTGGTCTGCTAAGTAACAGGTGCCTTCCAGGCACTGGCACTACCGCTAGACCAAGGAGCCCTGTAGTGGCCCTGTCCGGGCATGACAGAAGGCTCGCACTCTTGTCTTCTGGTCACTTCTCACCATGTCCCTTCAGCTCCTATCTCTGTATGGCCTGGTTTTTCCTAGGTTATAATTGTAGAACAAAGATTATTATAATATTGAAAAAAGAGTAATGCTACAAACTAATGATTGATAATATTCATATATAATCATATCTATAATTTATTTCTAGTATAACTATTCTTATTCTATATATTTTCTTTATTATACTGGAACAGCTTGTGCCCTTGGTCTCTTGCCTCGGCACCTGGGTGGCTTGCCGCCCACACTCATGAACAATTCAGAACATTACACAGCATAACTTCATTTACCTACCTCTATTCCATTGTACTTTCATTGTTTTAATATTTGCTTGTGCCAGACACAGTGGCTCATGACTGTAATCCCAGTACTTTGAGAGGCTGAGGTGGGAGGATCACTTGAGCTCAGGAGTTCAAGACCAGCCAGGCAACATATCATGATTCCATTTCTACAAAAAAATTTTAAAAATTAGCTGAGTGTGGTCGTGCGTGCCTATAGTCCCATATATATTTACTTGCATATATATTATAAACCTACAAGATGTTATTCTTATTTTACACCATTGATATTTTATATTTATCCAAATAGTTATTATTCTGCTTCTCTTGCCTTCTTAGAGTTCCATACTCCCATTTGGGATCGTTATAAGTTAGCTTGAAGAATGGTGCTGGATCAATGGAATATTTGTCTAAAAAAAAAACCTTCAGTAAATCATGACCCCAAACCTCACAGCCTACCCAAAACCATCCTAGCCCTGAATGTAGGACTTAAAACCATAAAACATTTAGAAGTCAACACATGGGAATATTTTAAGTAATCTTTGTCTACTCCACAAAAGCACTATCAGAGTAAATATACATGAATTTGACCTCATTAACATTGAGAATTTCTTTTCATAAGAAGACGTGGCCGCATACGGTGGCTCATGACTGTAATCCCTGCACTCTGGGAGGCTGAGGCATGTGGGCGGCAAGCCACCCAGGCGCCGAGGCAAGAGACAGAGGACATGAGCCGTTCCAGTATAATAAAATATAAAACAAGAATAGTTATACCAGATATAGATCTTAGATATGATTATATATGAATATCATTAGTCATTAGTTTGTAGCAATTACTCTTTATTCCAACATTATAATAATCCTCACTCTATAATCATAGCCTAGGAAAAACCAGGCCATACAGAGATAGGAGCTGAGGGGACATAGTGAAGTGAGACCGGAAGACAAGAGTGCGAGCCTTCTGTTATGCCCGGACAGGGCCACCAGAGGGCTCCTTGGTCTAGCAGTAATGCCAGCGTCTGGGAAGACGCCGGTTGCCAGGCGGACCGAGGTCTAGCGGTAGCATAAGTGTCAAGGAAAAACACCCGCTACTTAGCAGACCGGGAAAGGAAGTCTCCCTTTCCCCAGGGGAGTTTAGAGAAGACTCTACTCCTCCACTGCATGTGGAGGGCCTGACATTAGTCAGACCGGCCCGCAGTTATCCGGAGGCCTAACCGTCTCCCTGTGATGCTGTGCTTCAGTGGTCACGCTCCTAGTCCGCTTTCATGTTCCATCCTGTACACCTGGCTCTGCCTTCTAGATAGCAGTAGTCAATTAGTGAAAGTACTAAAAGTCTCTGATATGCAGAAATAATGGCGTAGGCTGTCTTTCTCTGTCTCCTCTCTCTCTCTGCCTCAGCTGCCAGGCAGGGAAGGGCCCCCTGTCCAGTGGACACGCGACCCACGTGACCTTACCTATCATTGGAGATGGCTCACTCTTCTTATCCTGCCCCTTTTGCTTTGTATCCAATAAATATCAGTGCAGCCAGACATTCGGGGCCTCTACCAGTCTCTGCAACTTGGTGGTAGTGGTCCCCTGGGCCCAGCTGTCTTTTCTTTTATCTCTTTGTCTTGTGTCTTTATTTCTACAATCTCTTGTCGCCGCACGCGGGGAGAGACCCACCTACCCTGTGGGGCTGGACCCTACACCCCTTGTTTGTGCATCCTCAGAACCCTCATCACTCTCTGAAATGCTCTATTTGTTTGTAATTGAATACTGTTAAATTAATTGCACTGACGTTAATGAACTTGCCTCCACTTTCTTTCTTCTCAATTTGACTCAGTCTGTGGGCTGCCAAGATTTGAGAGAGATGCAGAGGGAGGGAGGGCCAGACAGAGACGACGCTGAGACCACCCGCACCGTGGGCCGCATCCCTCTGGTTGCGCATGGGCTGGTTGAAATCTCTCATATGGCACCCGACACAGGCCCCCAGTCAGGCCAGCTGCAGGAGCCGAAAAGTCTCACCCAGTCTAGCTGTTGATGGTTTTTCAAGAACACATCCACAGGCAGAAGCCCTAGATAGAGCTGATCAGATCGACACAGTGATTAAGCTGAATGTGCCCTTTGAGGTCATTAAACAACGCCTTACTGCTTGCTGGATTCATCCCGCCAGCGGCTGAGTCTTCAACATTGAATTCAACCCTCCCAAAACTGTGGGCATTGATGACCTGACTGGGGACCCTCTCATTCAGCATGAGGATGATAAACCAGAGACGGTTATCAAGAGACTAAAGGCAGCCAGGCGCAGTGGCTCACGCCTGTAATCCCAGCACTTTGGGAGGCCGGGGCGGGTGGATCACAAGGTCAGGAGTTCGAAACCAGCCTGGCCAATATGGTGAAACCCTGTTTCTACTAAAAATACAAAATGTAGCCGGGCATGGTGGCAGGCGCCTGTAGTCCCAGCTACTCAGGAGGCTGAGGCAGGAGAATTGCTTGAACCCTGGAGGTGGAGATTGCAGTGAGCCAAGATGGCACCACTGCACTCCAGCCTGCGTGACAGAGCAAGACTCCACCTCAAAAAAAAAAAATAAAAATAATAATAATAGTAAAAAAGAGACTAAAGGCTTATAAAGCCAAACAAAGCCAGTCCCGGAATATTACCAGAAAAAAGGGGGTGTTGGAAACATTCTCCGGAACAGAAACCAACAAGATTTGGCCCTATATATACACTTTCCTACCAACTAAAGTTGCACAAACAAGCCAGAAAACTTCAGTTACTCCATGAGGAGAAATGTGTGTAACTATTAACAGGAAGATGGGCAAACCTCCTAGTCCCTGCATTTAGAAGCACTTTTCCTAAGACTTCCAATATGTATGAATTCTTTGAAAACTATATTACTTTTATTTCTACTGATTTTATTCTGGATACTAAGGATGTGCCAGATGAGTCAGATACTAAGATTCATCCTTTGAAATCATCTAGTGTGTTTTATGCAGTTATCCTCAAAAATATCAGCGATGCCTGAACTTTTAAAACATCTGTTAGAGCAAAATTAAACGAGCATTTTGTAGTAATCTCACTTTTTGTTCAGTTAATAAGTGGTTGATAAAGTTTCCATATTTTTCTGGAAAAGTTAAAAAAAGTTACATGTCATTTGGGGAAAATATGTAATCAGAAATTTTTGCATAGATTGATTCCAAAAAAAAGGCATTTCTAGCCTTTTTGTGGAACATGGTGAGACATTATATAAATTCCAGAAAGAAAACAACTGGATTTACAGATTTATTGTAAGACACAAATTCACTTCTGCCTTTACAGTAAGAAATGTATGTGCTAACCATATATGCTGTATTTATTTTGTTGTTAAGCATACTTTCAGTTTGCTCAGAATTTTCAATTTGCTATAAAAATGTATCAATTAGCATATAGAAAAATATTACTTTAAGATGACTTGTTTCTTTTGAAAATACATATATACTCGGGGTTATGATTTATGTCAGAAATTGACATCATAAGTCCTTGGACAAGCACCAAAGTTGAATGAATTTTCAACAAAATGGAATTAAAGTCTATATGTTTCCCGATGTGACTCAGGTTGATAAATGTGTTTTAGGATCTAGTTGCCGGTTTCTCTTTTCGATCCAAATGTATGATCTACCCTGATAAATAACAAGTGATAGTGCCACCCCCACCACCAAAAACAGAAAAGAAAAAAGAGGAAACCCACGGCACTGTGTAAATAAAGTAGGCTCACTGTGTCATGAGTAAACAGATGAGGCACGCCTGGGAAATGCTCCCTTGGCATAAATAGCAATCAATCATAATTAGTAAACAGGTGTGCCAATAAAAAGAATTTACGTGACAGGTTAACAAGGACCAGGAAAGTGAGTGAGTTTCCTGAAGGAGTTCTTTGTTCCTGATCAGAGAACTCGATACCTGTTAGCATTCACTGCCGCCTTACTGTAAGGAGAAAGAACTCTATTGGCGTCGTCTAAGCAGCCATTTAAAAATTGGAATCTACAGTGATTCCTGAGTGGGCAGCAAGGGTGGCTGCTGATGTGCTGTGTGGTCTGGGAGAAGTGGAGGAAAAGCCCGATGGCGTCTTTCACGGCGTATTTACTCTTCCTTTACTTGATGCCAAGTCAAATGAAACAAACGCTCGTACAAGCTGTTATTAATTGCCTTTAAAAATCTGGTCCGTTTTTTTCCAGGTACTTAAAATACCAGTGCCAGTAAGTGGTTCTTACGTATTTTGGGGGGAAATTTTTATTTTTCTTTTCTTCTGATATTTTAAAAATTCATTGATCTTTCAAGATGAGCCAAGGTTTTTTAAAAGAATGACAGTAAACACTTCATTCTTTACAAAACTTTCTATAATGCCTTATTTGAATGTTAATCGTATGTGCTTTCTAAAAATGTTGTGAACTGCCAAACTTATGGATTCTCACTAGGTTATCAGGCATACATTAGTCTTTATCAGAATAAAATGAAATGTCATTACTGTGGCTATTACTTTGTCCTTGGTCCTTCCCAGGGCCTGCTCCGCCCCAGCTTCCTTCCTGCTGCCTGATGTCTCAATGGCTTCTGAATGACTGTGTTCTAATAAATGATCTTAAAACAGAAAAGCAACAACAACAACAACAAAAAAAAACAAAGTTGGTCTAAAAGTTAAGGCTAAAAGTGTGGTAATAATCAGCACTATTAAAGGGAGTAGGGCAGACAACAGCCATTGCTTCCAAGTTCCCATGGAAGTTCCTAAAGATTCCATTTTGTCTGCCTGGGTAACAATGTTTTTAATTCGTTCTACGACCAAACTGGGCTGATTGACGTAGACATGGCATTCCCCTTTTAGATATAGATACGTTCCTCCTTGTCCAGCATGAGAAGATTTAAGGCCCCTCGGTTTTGCAGGACTACGGCAGCCAGGGAGTCCAGCTGCTGTTGAAGACTCATGAGGCCCTCTGCCGTTTGCTGGAGGGCCATTCAGTCTCCCAAGACAGTTTATGCTGGATTCCCAAGGCTCTGTCTCCCGTAGCTGTCCCTGCTAATCCCAATAGAGAGGATAATACTAAACCCAAGGGAAGAAGGGGTCCTGCTCAGAGGCGGCTCGCGCAATGTTGGTACGTGGGAAAAGGGGGAGACGTAGTAGCCAGTGTGGAGTTAGATGGGGGGAGCTGTAAGCGTGGAGTTAGATGGAGGGAGCTGTAAGCGATGGAGCGCTGTCCCTTCCAGAGTGGAGGGAGTCGTAGATACACTGGAGATCCACAACCCCCCACAACTCCGTGTGGTGGTGAAATTTGTGCTACAAAAGTATTTTTCATTATAGTGGTAAAAGCAGTGGAGGTTCTATAAGAGGCGGTTTTCTATTTTCTGGCCTGTAAGTGAAAGGTTTTGTGCAGCTATGTTGGCAGTGGTCACTGGGCCCATCAGGGGATGGTAGAGTTGGATGGTAGTGTTAACAAGTTCTTTAAATAGGGTTCCCCTCTTAGGGTCCCACCACAAGTGTAGTTCTCTCTCTTTTTTTTTTTTTTTTTTTTTTGGGATGGAGTGTAGCTCTGTCCCCCAGGCTGGAGTGCAGTGGCACCATCTCAGCTCACTGCAAACTCTGCCTCCTAGGTTCGCCATTCTCTTGCCTCAGCCTCCCAAGTAGCTGGGATTACAGGCACCCACCACCACGCCTGGCTAATTTTTTGTATTTTTAGTAGAGGAGGGGTTTCACTGTGTTAGCCAGGATGGTCTTGATCTCCCGACTTTGTGATCCACCCGCCTTGGCTTCCCAAAGTTCTGGGATTACAGGCGTTAGCCACCGCGCCCGGCCAGGTGTAGTTATCTTTAATAGGAAATGTTGATGGTCCCCAGAGGATATATTGAGATAGAGTGATTAAAGGCTTCCCATGAGAGGGCAGCCCAGCAGAAACCAGACGTCCTAGTTGTGCTGACAGGAAGTAGAAACCATGCCGGTCAGGGAACAGGATAGAGCGGGAGATTGATTGCATGGTGAGTTGTCCATTTATCAGTATAATTCCTGCAGACATATGGACTAGATAGGTGACCCAGTGACAAAGTTTCAGCTACACTGACTCTCTTGGAGCTTTCTTGCAAAAGTGGTAGAACTGGCATGATTGCTGTAAAGGCAGAAGGGGAAATACTCCAGGTAAAAGATATGCTAAGAAAGCATTTCTCCTTTTGGGACGTTTGAATTACCGTTGATCGTTAAGAGGGGGAACTTAAAGAACCCATGAGCCCACTCAGTAAAATCCCTTTGTATTGACGGTTGGGGTTGCTATCCCCATCCTGCGGGCCAGGGAGTTTGTTCCTGGAGGTGTGCTGGGAGGCCAGAGTCTTCCACGGGCACAGGTCTGGCATATTCCCAGCGTTTGGTAGTCATGGAAAGCCAGCCAGGTTGAGTTATGTTTAATAGACTAACAGTATGGTTCATCGCTTCCCTAGCACACAGACCAGCATCTCTAAAAGCACCTAGAGCACGGCAGGCGAGCACCAAGAAAAGGAAGATGTTACTTGTCTTCCAGATCAGCCCCATCTGGAGTTGTTTTCTTGAATAGAAACTTCAGAGCCTCTGTGAGCTCCCGGGTGTCATGAGCGGCTTCCTCTGGTTTCTGTAAAGGTTAATTGCAAAGTTTAATTCTGGTCATGTGGGCCCAGCTGGTGACTCCCTGTAGCTTTACAGCCATCGGGGGTGGTTTGTAGCACTTGGTAAGGTCCCTTCCATTTAGGAAGAAGTTGATCTGCTGGGGAACCTTCCTTCTAGGTGTTTAATAGGACCCAGTCTCCAGGCAGCATTTTGCTGTTGTGTTTCACTTGCCAGGCGAGGGCAGCCCTGTGTTGCCATATTCCTGGACAGCCAGCCGTACCTGGCCTAGATTTTGAATATATTTTACAATACACTGAGTTTCAGGTTTGATTAACAGGTCTAAGGTGAGGGAGGGTCTCCCATAAGTCATTTCAAAAAGACTAAGTTTCCTTTTCGCTTTGGGGACCGTTTGTATTCTCATGAACGCGATAGATGACAGAGTATACCAAGACCCAGAAGTTTCCTGGCATAATTTTGCCAGGGTTTGCTTTAAAGTGTGACTGGTCCTTTCAATCTTGCCGGAGGATTGCGGCCTCCACGAGGAGCGGAGACGATACTTAATTCCCAAAGCTCGAGCTCCCTGCTGGGTTCTAGCTGCAAGGAGCGGGGGAGGCCAAAACATGCCTTGACCACTTCTGTAGCTTTCTCTGTTCTTGGGGGAGAGCTTCCACCCAACCGGTAAAGGTGTCTACAAAACCAAAAGGTATTTAAAGCCTCGAAAGGAGGGCGTGTGGGTGCGGTCAACCTGCCAGTCCTCAGCAGGAGGGGTTCCTGGGTTCCTCGCTGCTGGACTGGGGTTAGTGAGAGGCCTTTGTCTTTGTTTGCCCCCACGGTTATTTTGGGAGCAAAGTTCATAGGCCCGAGTGACTCTATTGTGGTTGCCAGGCCCTTGCCCATAAACAGATGGTCTACCCAGGTGGTCATGGTGTCCTGCCCCATATGGAGATAATTATGTAAATTTTTTTTTTTTGAGACGGAGTCTCGCTGTGTCCCCCAGGCTGGAGTGCAGTGGTGCGATCTCGGCTCACTGCAAGCTCTGCCTCCCGGGTTCACGCCATTCTCCTGCCTCAGCCTCCCAAGTAGCTGGGACTACAGGCGCCCGCCACCACGCCTGGCTAATTTTTTGTATTTTTAGTAGAGACGGGGTTTCACCGTGTTAGCCAGGATGGTCTCCATCTCCTGACCTCGTGATCTGCCCGCCTCAGCTTCCCAAAGTGCTGGGATTACAGGCTTGAGCCACCACGCCCGGCTTTTTTCTTTTCTTTTTCTTTTTTTTTTTGAGACAGAGTCTCACTCTGTCACCCAGGCTGGAGTGCAGTGGCACGATCTCGGCTCACTGCAACCTCTGCCTCCCGGGTTCAAGTGATTCTCCTGCCTCAGCCTCCCGAGTAGCTGGAATTACAGGTGGGTGCCACCATGCCCGGCTAATTTTTGTATTTTTAGTAGAGACGGGGTTTCTCCATGTAGGCCAGGGTGGTCTAGAACTCCTGACCTCAAGTGATCCACGTGCTTCGGCCTCCCAAAGTGCTGGGATTACAGGTGTGAGCCACTGTGCCCAGCTGGGAATCATGTAAACTTTTAACCATTTTCTACTGGTCTGGCTGAGGAAGCAAGAGCTTTTGACCTATGAGCCACTAACCTTCAGGTGTTAGAGTCCCCTGACTTTCTTTAGCTTATGCTTGTTTTGATGTTTTAATTATTATTAGTTTTGAGTCAGAGTCTTGCTCTGTCACCCAGGCTGGAGTGCAATGGTGCGATCTTGGGTCGCTGCAACCTCTGCCTCCCCAGTTCAAGTGACTCTCCTGCCTCAGCCTCCCGAGTAGCTGGGATTACGGGTGCATGCCATCACGGCCAGCTAATTTTTGTATTTTTAGTAGAGACGGGGTTTCACCATGTTGGCTAGGCTGGTCTCGAACTCCTGACCTCAGATGATCCGCTCGCCTTGGCCTCCTAAAGTGCTGGGATTACAGCCACCACGCTGAGCTGCTAGTTCTTTTGTAGTTAAGATGGATTTACGTCAAGAGAATGGGCACAGGGGAACAAGGCTAGCTGGGCCACTGCTCCCGGAGTTCCCTCTTAGCTTTCCTGTCAGCCCTTGCATTTCCCAATGTCACTGAGGAGTTTCCTCTTTGATGTCCCAGGCAGTGAAGGGCTGCCACTCGCTCAGGCTCCTGCACAGCCTCTAAAAGCCGCAGTATCTCTTTTGCATATGTAATGGGGGATTTCCTTGCATTTAGAAGACCTGTTCTTTCCAAATGTTGTGTGTGCACGAGGGACAAGGGAGGCGCCCTTGGAGTCCGCACACCCGTGAAGCGCCTTTCCCCGACCCCGAGCCGGGCCCTGGTCAGGGGACTCACTCTGCTTTTTGCGCCGAGGTATTAGGTGGCAGTGTGGGCATCTGTTGTTTGGTGTAGACTAACCACAGCATGTCCTGCCCCTCTTTTTTTATTTTCCATGCAACTACTTCCATCCGTGAGCCATTCAGCACCAGGATTCTAGAGGGTGCACCCCTGAGGTCTATTCTACTGTGGAAGGCCTGGCCCATGTTGCAACCCTGGAACGAGTTAGGTTCTCCCAGGAACAGGCTGGCATGAGAGAAGCTGGATTAAGGGTACCACAGGTTTTTATAGTAACCTTGAGGGAGTCCAGGAGGGCGCCTGATCACGGCAAGTCTTCCTCCCAAGAGCCAACATGGCCCTTTATTTCTAAAACTCCCTGCACCTGGTGGGGAGTGAGGACCTCGAAGGTGTGTCTGAAAGTCAGGTTTTGGGGCCGGGCAAGCTGGCTCACTCCTGTAATCCCAGCACTTTAGGAGGCTGAGACGGGTGGGTCACTTTAGGTCAGGAGTTTGTGACCACCTTGGCCAGCATGGTGAAACCCCGCGTCTACTAAAAATACAAAAATTAGCCAGACGTGATGGTGCATGCCTGTAATTCCAGCTACTCGGGAGGCTGAGGCAGGAGAATCGCTTTAACCCGGGAGGCAAAGGTTGCAGTGAGTCGAGATCACACCACTGCACTCCAGCTTGGTGACAGAGCAAGACTCCGTCTCAAAAAAAAAAAAAAAAAAAAAAAGTCAGGTTTTGGGCTTCTTCTACTAGAATGGCGATGGCTGCAACTGCCCTAAGGCAGCCAGGCCACCTGCAGGGCGCAGAGTCCAGCTGCTTTGGAAAGGAGCCAACCAGATGAGACGTTTCTCCCACAACCGGACCAGGCGTTTCTCCCACAACTGGACGAGGTGTTTCTCCCACAACCAGACAGGGTGTTTCTCCCAGTTTCGGGAGGACTCCTAGGGCTACTCTCCATTTCTCTGCTACAGAAGATGAGTTTTTGTTTTTTTTGCTTCCATTGGATTAGATTATTTATAGATGTGAGTCTATAAATTAGATCATTTATGGGACATGTGTCATAATGGTCCCCTCTCCATTTGGGACCTCCCATAAGGGGAGCAGTTTCTCTGGCCCTGGATGGTGTGAAGTCCCAGTGCGAGCAGCTCCAGCTGGGCAAGTCCCTATTGTACCTGCAAAGGAGGAGGAGCATAAGGAGGGGGTGAAATGGGATTAGATTCCACAGGAGACTCTGATAGTGCGGGGGATGCTGGGGAGTCGGAAGGAGGTGTGGAGCCCTGAGAACCCCTATCTGGACTTGGAGTTGGGCCATGGGGCCTGGAGTCCCTTCCCTTTAATAAAAGAGGGTCTTCGCATGGGTCTGGGGGGCTTTCTGGCTTACTGGATTTTAGCCTGCAGGTGCTGCATAAAGCCGGGTTCCGTTGTAAGGCCATAAATACCTACTCATGGGTACTTCTGACCATTGTCCCTGATTCCTCTGGAAAGACGGAGCTGCGGGATGGCGATGAAGCTCACAGTTCCACTCTCTGACCACTTTTCATTGTCAGCTAACTTGTACCCAGGACAAACAGTGTAACAAAAGATGTCTTTTCCGTTTTAGCTCACCTAGCCGAAAGGTGTTCCAATTTTTACAGATACATCCCAGGGGTGTTCAGTGAGAGTAGAGAAGGTGGTTCCCGTGGTGCCGAGAGAATCCTGCAATGACAAAAACAGATACCAAAGTCCAGGAGGTCACAGGTGTCCCCGAGCCAAGCTGGACCATGACAGGGTGTGGGACATCCCCTTGAACCCCCATGAAATCAGGGCGCTAGGAGGTCACGGGCATTTGGCATACACCGTCCTGGGTCTCACGGGCGCTGGAAGTCTCCAGGCCCGACTGAGGTGGCCCCCGCTGCTGGCTGGGGGGCCCAACGTCTCATCAGCGAGCCTTTCCCTGCCTCACTGGTTGGCCATTGGTGATGCCCGATTACAGTGCCTGGAATACCCGATGCAGTCCCCACAGCCTGGCAGATACATGACTGAGCATCTTTTGTTCAGCAAAGAACGCCAGTTGAAGGACCATCTGAAGGAGGTGGAAAATGCATAAGGTCTGGAGGGACAGCGCACTCTTAATGTGTCCCTCAAAACAGATTTCGGCCAGGCACGGTGGCTCACACCTGTAATCCCAACACTTAGGGAGGCCAAGGTGGATGGATCACTTGAGGTCAGCAGTTCGAGACCAGCCTGGCCAACATGGTGAAACCCCCATCTCTACTAAAAGTACAAAAAATTAGCCGGGCGTGGTGGCAGACCCCTGTAGTCCCAGCAACCCAGGAGGCTGAGGCGGGAGAATCGCTTGAACCAGGAGGTGGAGGTTGCAGTGAGCTGAGGTGGTGTCATGGCACTCCAGCCTGGGCAAAAGAGACTCTGTCTCAAAAAAAAAAAAAAAAAAAAGAAAATTTTGTAAAACAGAAAACCCGATCAGACAATAAATCACAATGGCCACGAGGTGGCGGCCGAGTGCTACCAGAGGGACAGCAAACGGGCTGTGTCTGAAACGAGGCCAGAAAGGCGTGAAACCAAGCAGCGAAACAGCCCAAATACTGAATGTTGAGAGCAACCGATGTGGTTGGATAATGATGAGTGGTGCAGAGGCAGCAGCCAGAGGAGAGCAGCACATATATCCACAGAAACGGTCCAGGCAACTTAGAAACCTTCCCCGGAGCTTGACTGAAACAGCCCTGGGCAAACCAGCGGCAGCCAACCAGGCAGCCTGGCACTGCCACGGTACCCGCTGCGGGGAAGGGAAACTGGAGTGAATGACGCAGACGAACCTCCATCCGAGTCACAGCACCAGAAACGTTGGCGGCTGCTGTGAGGCCTCCATTCTTGTCTTCTTAGTTTAAAAGAATTTAAACAAGAGACACACAGCCAAGGAGATGCAGCACAGAGCAATGTATTGCAAAGGAGAAAGAACATTTTGAAAGTTTGATGCAGAAGAGATAGGACGCCCTGAGAGAGAGGATTCAGGGCCGGCTGCTTGTAAGGGCGAGACAGCAGAGACTGGCACCAGGGAGGCTCCTCCATGGGAGTCTTCCATGATTACTCACAGCGGGTGGGCAGAGGTGTTGCTAGGAAGCATGTTCTGGGGGGGTCCTCTGGGTGCACACGTGCAGTAGCTGCACCTGCTTGCTCATACGTCGCATGTGTCATTAGCATCTTAAATCTCCACCAGGGGTGTGTTTTCTATTATAATGAGCAAAGGGTCAGTCTGAGGACAGGGAAAATCAAATATGCCTGCTCTGTAGTTGGGAGGGGGGATTTCTCTCCTGGAGCTAGCTTTGCTTGGATGAGCTGGACCACAGCGCAAATGCAAAGGCTTACTGTGTTGACTGTACAGTGGCCACGGTGGCTGCATCCCAAGGATATGGTCACTTCCTTGACTACCTATCCTGGCTCATGAGCAGAAGTCAAGCCCCTGGGCCAGGCGCCGTGCCTCTCATGCCTGTAATCCCAGCACTTTGGGAGGCCGAGGCAGGCAGATCACCTGAGCTCAGGAGTTTGAGACTGGCCAACATGGTAAAACCCCGTCTCTACTAAAAATACAAAAGAAAAAAAAAAGCCGGGCGTGGTGGCAGGCGCCTGTAATCCCAGCTACTCCGGAGGCTGAGGCAGGAGAATCACTTGAACCCGGGAGGCAGAGGTTGCAGTGAGCTGAGATGGCACCATTGCACTCCAGCCTGGGTAACAGAGCAAGACTCCATCTTAAAAAAAAAAAATCAAGCCCCTACCATAATGCTAACCTTGTGGTCTTTCGTTAGTTTTACAAAGGCGGCTTTGGTCTCAAGGAGTGGAGTAGTTTTGGGAAGACACTATTATCATCCTTACTTTATTTTTTATTTGTATTCATTTATTTTTGTTTTGAGATGGAGTTTCGCTCTTGTCACCCAGGCTGGAGTACAATGGCACAATAACGGCTCACTGCAACCTCCACATCTCGGGTTAAAGTGATTCTCCTGCCTCAGCCTCCTGAGTAGCTGGGATTACAGGTGCCCGCCACCACGCCAGCTAATTTTTATTTTTTTTCAGTAGAGACAGGGTTTCGTCATGTTGACCAGGCCGATCTCGAACTCCTGACCTCAGGTGATTCACCTGCCTCGGTCTCCCAAAGGTATTAGAGGTGTAAGCCACCATGCCTGGCCCATCCTTACTCTAAACTATGAACTAAATTCCTCCCATAGTTAGCTTGGCCTATGCCACCTGAGCAAAGGCAAGTTAGCTTGTGAGATTAGAAAGCAAGATGGAGTCAGTTATGTTAGATTCCTCTCATTTTTTTTTTTTTTTTTTGAGCTGGAGTCTCACTCTGTCACCCAAGCTGGAGTGTAGTGGCGCAATCTCATCTCACTGCAAGCTCTGCCTCCCGGGTTCATGCCATTCTCCTGCCTTAGCCTCCCAAGTAGCTGGGACTACAGGCACCTGCCACCACGCCCTGCTAATTTTTTTGTAGTTTTAGTAAAGATGGGGTTTCACTATGTTAGGCAGGATGGTCTCGATCTCCTGACCTTGTGATCCGCCCACTTCAGCCTCCCAAAGTGCTGGGATCACAGGCGTGAGCCACCGTGCCTGGCCTCCTCTCATTGTTATAATCTTGCAAAAGTGGTTTCACTCCTGGCCTCAAGCTATCTTCCTGCCTTGGCCTCCCAAAGTGATGAGATTACAGATGTGAGCCACCAGGCCCACCTGCTGCCAATTCTAGTATAAAGAGTAAATTGGGCTGGGCGTGGTAGCTGACACTTGTAATCGTAGCACTTTGGGAGGCCAAGGTGAGAGGATCACTTGAGGTCAGGAGTTCGAGACCAGCCTGGCCAACATGGTGAAACCCCATCTCTACTAATATACAAAAATTAACTGGGTGTGGTGGTGGGCACCTGTAGTCACAGCTACTCGGGAGGCTGAGGCAGGAGAATTGCTTGAACCTGGGAAGCAGAGGTTGCAGTGAGCCAAGACTGTGCCACTGTACTCCAGCTTGGGTAACAGTGAGACTCCAGCTCAAAAGAAAAAAAAAAATGAGTAAATTGGCCTGGAGTCACCTATTGCTCCAGTAGCAAGTTCCTGTGAAATGGAAATTCAGGAACCCACCCTTGTTCTGGGCCAGTCAGGAAGAGCCTGAGGGGAGGAGCCGCTGAGGGCAGGGCCTCTCCCTGCCCCACCTTCCTCTCTCTGGCAAGCCTGCAGGGCAAGTGGCTGAGAATCAGCCAGAGGGAGGAAAGTGAGGAGGGGTGGACCAGGCCTGGGAGGGTCCTGGGTGGGGGCGCTAAGGAGAGGAGGTGCAGTACAGCCATGGGGCTCTGGGTGAGAATTGCAGGGAAGGATGGGAGGGAGGAATGGGGACTGGGGTGGGGGCGTGAGGCAGACAGTTCTCCTTTGGGTGACTGTGCTGAGGACAGGGTGGGAGATGGAGAGCCGGATGTTCTGGCTTTGCTGCTGTGCAGGACTCATTCGATCCCCAGGAGGGTGAGGAGTCCGAGGGCTGCTCTGATTCGCTGAAGTTTGTCTGTGCACTAGCACCCTGGAATGAGCAGTCTCCAGGCCATGAAGACCTTGTCCCTGGTCCTGCTGGTGGCCCTGCTGAGCATGGAGAGAGGTGAGAAGCAGAGGGGCCTTTAGAGGACTTTGTTCCAGCGCACTCCTGCTGCCCCGTGTGTGCTGGAACTAGTTGCAGGTGGGTGTGCTCGGAAGGCGTGCCTGCTGGGGGTGGCGGGCTTCGGTGTTCCGGTGGCAGAGGTGACTGGTGTGTTTGGTGCCTGCTCTGTGCTTGTTACCGCGCGTGCTGGCTGTGCTCACTTCCGAGGACTCACTGAGTCCTGGGCACGTGTATGCCTTTGGCATTGGGCAGTGGCTGCTGGTGCCTCTGGACAAAGAGGTGGTGTTGGAGGGTTGCAGGCCACCAGTTGCAGGCTGCCAGTTGCAGGCAGGTGTGTGGGGCTATTGCAAAGGTCCAGGTGGCAGGTTGGGACAAGGGTGGTGGTGAGAGTGGGTGCCCTTGTGGGCATGGGACTCTCACCAGGGCATTGGTGTATGTCCTGGCATGTGCTGCAGTCACCCACCTTGCCCTCTCTCCCAGCTCAGGGTCTGCGCTGCTACAGATGCTTGGCGGTCTTGGAAGGGGCCTCCTGCAGCGTGGTCTCGTGCCCCTTCCTGGATGGGGTCTGTGTCTCCCAGAAAGTGAGCGTCTTTGGCAGTGAGTCCCTGGGGTGCCAGGGCAGAGGGCAGGTTCTGGGGAGGGAGGGGCACTTCTTAGATAGCTGCATGATGGACCAAGGTCCCCCTACAAGCCCTCAGCACTTTGGGGGCCGGTCTGTGGCTCCTGAGGTGGGGGGTGGGGTGGGGTGGGCATGGCGGGCAGGACCTGTGCAGGGAAGGGTGGAAGAGCGGCAGGGCTGAGGAGCCTGGGCCACCAAACTGAGCCTAAGGGTTGTGGGTCTGCAGGGACAGGGGATGTTCCGGGTTCTAGAGCAGGGGGCGCCCACAGGGCCCTCATTACTGTGGAAACCATCCCAGCCCCTCCCAGTGCCCAGCAGCAGGGCCCACACCAACTTCCCAGTAGCCTCCCAACGCCAGCTGCTGTAGCTACTCTGGGGACCCCAGTGACCTCTGCCCCTTGTCCCCACTTCATGCCGCGGGTCTCACCAGCTCCATGCAGGAGAGGCGCAGGCTGTGAGCATTCAGTGAGTTACCTGCCTGGAAGAACCTGGAGACAGTTAGCTTCAAGCTAAAGGAATGACTCTGGAATGGTGGGATATCAGCCAGGCCATGGGAGGACTGGGGAGGGGCTGCAGCCTGCCCAGGCCCTCAGCACCCTCAGCACCCTCAGCACCCTCAGCTCTCGGAGCTGCATCTGTCCCCAGGCCACACCCTTCAGTGAGGTGAGGCAGGAAAAGGCCTGCCCTGGCCGGGCACGGTGGCTCATGACTGTAGTCCCAGCACTTTGGGAGGCCAAGGCGGGGGGATCACCTGAGGTCGGGAGTTGGAGACCAGCCTGACCAACATGGAGAAACCCTGTATCTATTAAAAATACAAAATTAGCCGGGCCTGGTGGGGCATGCCTGTAATCCCAGCTACTGGGGAGGCTGAGGCAGGAGAATCGCTTGAACCCAGGAGGTGGAGGTTGTGGTGAGCAGAGATCGCCCCATTGCACTCCAGCCTGGGCCACAAGAGCAAAACTCCATCTCAAAAAGATATTTAAAAAAAAAAAAGCCAGCCTGGAGCCCGCAGCTGTTTCCCAAAAGCAGCACCCAGCTCCCCTCCACAGCCCACCCAGCTCCCGCTTCGGGGGTCCCAAGGCCGGGGCAGGGTGAGGGCTGCCTGGGGAAAGAACTCAAACCCTGCTGCCCTTTCTGCCACAACCCTGGTTCCCTGGGTGGCCTCAGCGTCCCCTAAGTGAAAGGGCTCCGATGGCCTTGGTCCTGATGGCTTTGATGTTCAGGCTCCCAGCCAGCAGATGTTGGGGTGCGGAGCCTCCCTGCAGAAAGCCCCTGAGGCCCCGGGGCAGGGCCCTGCTCATCCCCCACCCCGCTCTCTCGCAGGTAAAGTGAGAGGGGAGAACAAGCTCTCCCTCCTCTCCTGCCAGAAGGACGTCGGATTCCCCCTGCTGAAACTTACAAGTGCCGTTGTGGACTCCCAGATCTCTTGCTGCAAGGGAGACCTCTGCAATGCGGTGGTCCTGGCAGCCAGCAGCCCCTGGGCCCTGTGCGTACAGCTCCTGCTCAGCCTGGGGTCAGTCTTCCTCTGGGCCCTGCTGTGAGGGCCTTTCCCGCCCTCTCCCCCGCAGGCCTACCCTCTGTCCCTGTGCGTCACCAGCTGCTTGGTTTTGAAGAGCTGCCTCACTGAATTGCAGGAATTCTGGTGTGGCTTTTCAGCCATGAGATCAGGGGAAGGATGTGGCCAGGGCAGAGGTCGGGGCTTCCCTGTCAGGGAACATATCCCTGCTTAAACTCCTTGTCCTCTGGGCCCAGGCCCTCCAGCCCATGCCCCCCAACAACACCACTTTTTTCAGAGCTGGGCCTCAGAGACCAGGCCCCACCACTGGCTGCTTGGGACCTAGGGTCATAGAGAAACCGTGGCCCAGGGCGGGAGTCCCCAGCTCCATCCAGCTTGCCACTAACTTGCCGAGGAGCCAGGGCCAACCCCTCAGCTCTCTGGGCTACCTGAATCCAAGCAAGGAGGGAACGTGGTCCCAGGGGGCCCTGCTGGCCTCCCACACAGGATGAGGGCCTCCCTCTCAAGGTCAACAAACAGCCCTTTGCTGACCCACTCAGCGTCAGCACTCGGCTTCTTCCTCACCATTCCTGAGGCCGCCCACCTGCCACTCTGACCTCAGGCCTCTGCAACATCCTGCTGGCACCATGGCCTTGGGGAGGTGCTCCTGGGGCACGGGTGCCCCCCCAGGGACCAGAACCCACAGAGTGCCAGGCTCATGGCTCTTCTGGCAGAACTCTTGCCATGTGGCTCCAGGGAACATCTGAGTAGGGTTGTCAGAGAGCCTCTGGATGGTCACCAAGAGGCAGAGCTCCTGCGGCCACCAGCCATCCTGTGGTGTGGGCCAGGCCTGTCATTTCTGTGCCCTGGCTAGGGCTCCCATGATGCCCCGTGTCAGGGGTTAGACTGGTCTCCCCTGGTGGTGGGAGAAAGGGGCTCCTTCAGGACTGCACTCTGGACAGAAAGTCAGGGCTGGGCTCAGAATGGTCTGGGTGGACGGTCATCTCAGCCTGGAGTCAGGGCTGGGCTGAGAACGCCCTGGGTGGACGGTCGTCTCAGCCTGGAGTCAGGGCTGGGCTGAGAACGCCCTGGGTGGACGGCCGTCTCAGCCTGGAGTCAGGGCTGGGCTGAGAACGCCCTGGGTGGACGGCCGTCTCAGCCTGGAGTCAGGGCTGGGCTGAGAACGCCCTGGGTGGACGGCCGTCTCAGCCTGGAGTCAGGGCTGGGCTGAGAACGCCCTGGGTGGACGGCCGTCTCAGCCTGGAGTCAGGGCTGGGCTGAGAACGCCCTGGGTGGACGGCCGTCTCAGCCTGGAGTCAGGGCTGGGCTCAGAACAGTCTGGGTGGACGGCTATTGTCAGGGACCCCAAACAGAGGGACCGGCTGAAGCCATGGAAGAAGAACATAAATTGTGAAGATTTCATGGACATTTATTAGTTCCCCAAATTAATACTTTTATAATTTCTTATGCCTGTCTTTACTGCAATCTCTGAACATAAATTGTGAAGATTTCATGGACACTTATCACTTCCCCAATCAATACCCTTGTGATTTCCTATGCCTGTCTTTAATCTTTTAATCCCATCATCTTCGTAAGCTGAGGAGGATGTATATTGCCTCAGGACCCTGTGATGATTGTGTTAACTGCACAAATTGTTTGCAGAGCATGTGTGTTTGAACAATATGAAATCTGGGTACCTTGAAAAAAGAACAGGGTAACAGCAACGTTCAGGGAACAAGAGAGATCACCTTAAACTCTGGTTGCCTGTGAGCCAGGTGAAACAGAGCCATATTTCTCTTCTTTCAAAAGCAAATAGGAGAAATATCGCTGAATTCTTTTTCTCAGCAAGGAACATCCCTGAGAAAGAGAATGTATCCCTAAGGGGAGGCCTCTGAAATGTCTGCTTTGGGGACGGCTGCCTTTTACAGTTGTAGATAAGGGATGAAATAAGCCCCAGTCTCCCGCAGTGCTCCCAGGCTTATTAGGATGAGGAAATTCCCGCCTAATAAATTTTGGTCAGACTGGTTGTCTGCTCTCAAACCCTGTCTCCTGATAAGATGTTATCAATGACAATGTGTGCCCAAAACTTCATTAGCAATTTTAATTTCGCCCCGGTCCCGTGGTCCTGTGATCTCGCCCTGCCTCCGTTTGCCTTGTGATATCTTATTACCTTGTGAAGCATGTGATCTCTGTGACCCACATCCTATTTGTACACTCCCTCCCCTTCTGAAAATCACTAATAAAAATTTGCTGGTTTTACGGCTCAGGGGGCATCACGGAACCTGCCGACATGTGATGTCTCCCCCGGACGCCCAGCTTTGAAATTTCTCTCTTTTGTACTCTGTCCCTTTATTTCTCAGACTGGCCGACACTTAGGGAAAATAGAAAAGAACCTACATGAAATATCGGGGGTGAATTTCCCCCGATAGATGACCATCTCAGCCTGGGGTCAGGGCAGGGCTCAGAATGGTCTGGGTGGACGGCCGTCTCAGCCTGGAGTCAGGGCAGGGCTCAAGGTCTGGGTGAATGGCCATCTCAGCCTGGAGTCAGGGCTGGGCTCAGACGACCAGCAGTCTTTGACCTGCCATGCCGGGAGCCACATCTCGTGACCAGGTCCTGGCCTTCCACGCTGGCCAGACGCCTGCATCCAAGACGTCCTGGTCCCTCTGACTGCACAGTGTGACAGCCACCACCCAGCCATGCCCTGTACTCCTGGATGTGATTTGCTAATTAGGGTCAATGGGGTAAGATGCCCAATTAAATATGAATTTCAGATAAACAATTTTTAGCATAAGTATGTCCCAAACATTGGTAAAAATGACTATTTGTTGTTTATCTGAGATTCAGATCAAACTGGGCATCTTGGACATTTTATTTGCTCAACTAGAAATTCATGAGTGCCTAAGGAGCTCAAGGGACATTCCAGACCCCCCAAATCTGTGTCGGACACAGGGGCAGTCACAATGGGGTGCAGTGGTTGTACCTGGTGACTCAGGACATTCGTCTACCTCCTCATGTCCCCCCTGCCTCTAGCACCACAGTGTCATGCCCTACCCTCCAGGGGGCCCAGAAAGCAGTGCTTTTGCCCAGGGCCATTGTCCCCTAGATAGAGGGTTCAGCCCAAGGAGGGCAGCCCTGATTCCCAAGCCTCCTGCAGCACTGACTCTCCACTGCAGCAGGCCTGGGGTTTCTGGCCATGGCTCGCCTTTGGCTCACCTCTCCAGAAGGTCTCTGGAAGCTTCTTCCCCACAGGGTCCTCCCTTCCACTGTAACCTTCCCTGGTTCTGGGAAACAAACTTGAGAGGCCCAGGCGCACCCCACCTCTTCTCTTTAGGTCTCCACAGCTTTTCCTCTGCCTCGTCCCCAAGGGGATCACTCTGGCCTTTCCCCTCTCCAGTGACCCTCTCCACACCCTCCCGGCTTCCCCCTTCCTCTGAGCACCCCAGATGCCAAAGGACAAGGTGAGGGAGCCTTTGGAGAAATGTTGCCTGACGTCACTGGTCCCCCACGCTCGGGGGACCCACACGGCCCGCCCTGCAGGCAGCCCCCTCCCCGCAGGCAGCCCCCTCCCCGCAGGCCGCCCCCTCCCCACCTCACCTCACAGCTGCAGGGGTCGGGGCTCGGAAGTGCTGGGGGCAGTTCAGGTTGAAGGCTGGGCAGCGTGCACTTCTCCCCCAGCCTCCTGGGGCCCGGGCATCACCGGAAGCGGAGTTTGTTCCCACTTTGTATCAGTCGCAAAGAAAGAGCACCCAATTGGACAAAAGGCAAGCAGGCTGCGTTCCTGGCCCGGAGTGGAGAAGAGTGAGCCCCTGCCCTGTCAGGGAAGCTGAGGCTGGGGGTTGTGAGGAGTCCCGTGCCGGGAGGAGGCTGCAGGAGCGCCTCAATGCACCTCTTGATACCACGCATGCTTAGCAAGGCCTGGGGACTGTCCTCTCGGGCAGGACTTCCGCCTTGTAATGACATGTCGCTGATTTAAAGGGAACTGGGGGTCACCAGCTCTGGTTTGTGCAAGTCTGGTGCGTTCTTATCTCCCTTGTATTTGGCAGGGGATCCTAAACCTCTCCTGGTATGTTGAGACATCTGGAGCTCATTAAGCCTCGGCGCCTGTAGATAAAGAGATTAAAGGAAAAAAGAAAAGAAATCCCGCCCTGGGGCAGCTGGGGTAGGATTAGCCTGGAGGCCACGCCTCTGCAGGGTCTCCCATAGGCTGGGCCAGCCTCTGCCCTCCCTGCTTCCAGAACCCCGGACGCTGATGGCCTGTGGCGGCCACTCTCCGCCCACCCCGGAGCCCAGCCTAGCGGGGAGAAGGCCGCCGGCCCGTTCGAATGTCCCTCTGCTTCCAGGGTCAGCCTGCACGCCACTCTCACAGAGGCCAGACGGGCGGTGGGGCGGGGACTCAGTTCATCCTCTGCCTGAGGAGCAGGTCTCGGGTGCGACTGAGCTTTTCACCCTTTGAGAGGAGTCAGGGACACGCAGCGTCTCCAGCAAGCTGGTGGCAGAAACTGATGGAGCATCCTAATCACAAAATAGGAAGAGAGTTTGCAAAATAGGAGCATTTACCAGAAGCCTCTCTCTCTCCCTCCCTCCCTCCCTCCCTCTCTCTCTCTCTCCCTCTCTCTCTCTCTCTCTCTCTCTCTCTCTCTCTCTCTCTCTCTCTCTCTCTCTCTCTCTCTCTCTCTCTCTCTCTCTCCCTCCCTCCCTCTCTCCCTCTCTCTCTCCCTCCCTCCCTCTCTCTCTCCCTCCCTCCCTCTCTCCCTCCCTCCCTCTCTCTCTCTCTGTGTGTCTCTCAAGTAGAAGTGGGGTCTCTATGTTGCCCAGGCTGCTCTCGAACTCCGAGGCTCAAGCGATCCTCCTGCCTCAGCCTCCCAAAGTGCTGCGATTACAGGTGTGAACTACTGGGCCCAGCCCCAGGCCCTCTTACAGGAGTGGGCTGCCTAGAAACATTCCAGTGCCATATCCCACTCCACTCCGGGTGCAGGGACAGGACCCCTGCCACCCCCAACCCAGGCCCAAAAGGAGGGGCCAGGAGGGGAGGGGCCACCAAGGCAGGTGAGCTGCTTAAGAGGAGCGAGGGCTGTGGACAGTCCTGCGGACTGCAGGAGGGGCCAGCAGGATCAATATCCAGCTTCTCTCTCCTGCTGGGCTCCTGCTGGGGCTCCCTGTTGGTCACCCCAAAACCTACTGTCTCTCATCGCTGCCGGGGCTGGCCAGGCTCAGCTGCTGGTTCTGCCTTGGGGCACCTCCTAGGTGGAGTCAGGGTGGCTGAAGGCTTCCCCACTCATGCGTCCACTGTCTGGACATCCTGCCCCTGCCCGACCTCCAGGAGTTGCAGTGTGTGAAGGCCACACCACAGCCCCTCTCTGCTGCCTCCCTCATGTCTCCTCCAGAATGATGCTCTTAACCCCCTCATTAGAGGCCCCCATCCTTCCCAACTGTACCTCTTGACACCCTGAGTACAGTTCAAGAGACCCTGAAGAAACTCAGAAAAGTGACAACTGGAGGCTCTGGGAGAGAAGAGTGAAGTCACTCACATTTGTTTTTATTTACTTATTTTTTTTTTAGAGATGAGGTCTTGCTTTGTTGGCCAAGCTGGTCTCTTGAACTCCTGGCCTCAAATGATCCTCCCATCTTGGTCTCCCAAAGTGTTGAGATTACAGGTGTGAGCCATTCTCTCCGGCTTACTCTGCGTTTTACAGGATGGGATGTGTTGATGAAAGAAAGCCAAACTCTAAAATATTTGAAGAGGTTTATTCTGAGCCAAATGTGAGGACCATGACCTCACATGACAGAGACTCAGGAGGTTCGGGGAACATGTGCCCAAGGTGGCCGGGGTACAGCTCGATTTTATACCCTTTAGGGAGAAAGAAGTTACAGGATGAGATGGTTTGGATTTGTGTCCCCGCCCAGATCTCATGTGGAATTGGCGGAGGGGCCACGTGGGAGGTGATTGGATCGTGGGGTCAGACCTCCCCCTTGCTGTTCTGGTGATAGTGAGTGAGTTCTCAGGAGATCTGATGGTTTGAAAGTGTGACGTGTCCCCCTTCGCTATTTCTCCCTTGGGCTCAAGGGATCCACCTGCCTCGGCTTCCCAAAGTGTTGGGATTACAGGTGTGAGCCACTGCGCCCGGCTGAAGACTCTGTTGATCCTGATTTTTTCCCCATTGCTATTATGGCTGTTTTTCTCCTCTTCTTTTCTTGACTGGTCTCCCACAAGAATTATCCACATTTTTAAGGCTGGGCGTGGTGGCTCACACCTGTAATTCCAGCACTTTGGGAGGTTGAGGCAGGTGGATAATTTTAGGTCAGGAGTTTGAGACCAGCCTGGCCAACATGGTGAAACCTCATCTCTACAAAAAATAACAAATATTAGCCGGGCATGGTGCACAAGCCTGTAATCCCAGCTACTTGGGAGGCTGAAACACAAGAATTGCTTGAACCTGGGAGGCGGAGGTTGCAGTCAGCTGAGATTGCACCACTGCACTCCAGCCCTGGCAACAGAGTGAGACCCTGTCTCAAAAAAAAAAAAAAAAAAAAAAAAAAGCAAGAGTTATCAAAGTTTTTAGTTTATCCAAAGAAATAACTAACTTGTGTATCCTAATATGTACATAATTTCCATATTATTAATTTCTGATGTCACTTTTATTCGTTTCTTTCTTCCGTTTTTTTGGATTCCATTTGCTGTTCTTCCTGTAATTTCTTGTGATGAATGCTTCATTCATTAATGTTGAATCTTTTTTTTTTTTTGAGATGGAGTCTCTCTCTTGTCACCCAGGCTGGAGTGCAATGGCGCGATCTCGGCTCACTGCAACCTCCCGGGTTCCAGCTGCCCTCCCGTCCAGCTGCCCTCCCGGGTTCCAGCGATTCTCCTGTCTCAGCCTCCCAAGTAGCCGGGATCACAGGTGTGTGCCACTAGGCCCAGCTAATTTTTGTATTTTTAGTAGAGACAGGGTTTCACCCTGTTGGCCAGGCTGGTCTCCAACTCCTGACCTCCGGCCTTGGCCTCCCAAAGTGCTGGCATTACAGGCATGAGCCACCGTGCCTAGCCTGAATGTGTTTTTAATGTATGAAGGTAAGGGCCAGTGGGAAATCTTCCCTTTTAACCCCTGACATTTCCATGAAAACGCGACTCAGAAAAGGCAGATTAACTGGAGAAAAGGCGCAGAGATGTATTAATGTGTCCACAGGGGAAAACGCAGAGCGATATCCCGCACCCTGCAGCGGGGTTCAGACGCTTAGGGACCATCCTGGCCACACAGGCCATGAGGGGAGAAGAGGATTCTGAGGGCAGTGGAGCAGGGAGCGGAGATTAACTTGTAGATAGTTCTCTTTGGAATGTGAATGGGCCTGAGGGACAGACATTATTATCTTGTGAAAGGGTTTGTTCAGGTATGGTGACATTCTTTGTCTGGGGGTAGGGGGAAGAAAACACAATTGTTCTTGGTGAGTCCAGACTTTAGGCAGACAAAGGAACTTCAGAGAACTCCATCCTAACTTTGGGAGAGTCTGTGGGTTGTGGGGGAGGACAGAAAGTTCTTGAAGTTTCTTCAGCATGTCAAAGTGCCATATTTTGGGGTATTGGTTTCTGAGACCTAACAGTGGATACAGTTCTCTCAAAGCATGCAGTTATGGCTGGGCGTGGTGGCTCATGCCTGCAATCCCAGCACTTTGGGAGGCTGAGGAGGGCGGATCACCTGAGGTCAGGAGTTCGAGACCAACCATGGCCAACATGGTGAAACCCCGTCTCTACTAAATATACAAAAATTAGCCAGGTGTGGTAGTGCATGCCTGTTGTCCCAGCTACTTGGGAGGCTGAGACAGGAGAATCGCTGGAACCTGAAGGTAGAGGTTGCAGAGCCGAGATGGTGCCACTGCACTCTAGCCTGGACAACAAGAGCAAAACTCCGTCTCAAAAAAAAAATTAAAAACTAGCAAGATGTGGTGGTGCGTGCCTGTGGTCTCAGCTACTTAGGAGGTTGAGGCGGGAGGATCACTTGAGCCCAGGAGGTCAGGGCTGCAGTGAGCTTTGATTGGACCCACTGCATTCCTGTTGCATTCGGCAACAGAGCGAAATCCTATTTTCCTTTTGATTTCTTCTGTGACATATACGTTATTTATAACTATACTTGTTCATTTCCAAACAGAGGAGCATTTTCTTGTTTTGGGTAATAATTTCTAGTCTAATTTAACTGTAATTAGAGAAGCCACTCTGTATGATTTCAATTAATTTGTGGAGACTTTTTCATGGCTCATTATGTGATCCATAGTTGTAGATGTTTGTGTGTACTTGAAAAGTGTGTGTGTTCTGGAATTGCTGTGATCAGTTTTCTATGTCGGTTACCTTTCTTTTTTTAATTTTAAAATTTGTTTTATTTTTAAAAATTTTTAAATTGAAAAATTTTTTTTTTTTTGGCTTTGAGACGGGGTCTTGCTCTGTTGCCTAGGCTGGAGAGCAGTGGCGCGATCTCGGCTCACTGCAGCCTCTGCCTCCCGGGTTCAAGCAATTCTCCCACCTCAGCCTCCTGAGTAGCTGGGATTACAGGGGTGCGCCACCACACCCGGCTAATTTTTGTATTTTTAGTAGAGATGGGGTTTCACCATGTTGGCCAGGCTGGTCTCAAACTCCTGATCTCAGGTGATCCATCCACCTTGGCCTCCCTAAGTGCTGGGATTACAGGCGTGAGCCACTGCGCCCGGCTTTAAAATTTGCTCTAAAGAGACAGGGTTGCTGAGTGCAGTGGCTCATGCCTTTAATCCCAGCACTTTGGGAGGCCGAGGTGGGTGGATCACGAGGTCAAGAGATTGAGACCAGTCTGGCCAATATGGTGAAACCCCCATCTCTACTAAAAATGCAAAAATTAGCTTGGCATGGTGGCACGTGCCTATAATCCCAGCTACTCGGGAGGCTGAGGTAGGAGAATCACTTAAACCTGCAAGGCGGAGATTGCGGTGAGCCAAGATCGTGCTACTGCACTCCAGCCTGGTGACAGAACAAGACTCTGTCTCAAAAAAAAAGAAAAAAAAAAAAAGTCAGGGTCCTCCTATGTTGTCCTGTGCTCAAGCAGCCCTCCTACCTCTGCCTCCCAAAGTGCTGGGATTGCAGGTGTGAGCTGACATGATCAGCCTCCATTAATTTCTTTCGTTCATCCTGGTTTTTTTTTTTTTTTTTTTTTTTGAGATGTATCTTGCTCTGTTGCCCAGGCTGGAGTGCAGTGGCGCGACCTTGGCTCACCACAACCTCTGCCTCCTGGGTTCAAGCGATTCTCCTGCCTCAGTCTCCTGAGTAACTGGGACTACAGGCGCACACCACCATGCCTGGCTAAATCTTTTTTGTATTTTTAGTAGAGACGGGTTTTCACTATGTTGGCCACGCTGGTCTCAAACTCCTGATCTCATGATCCGCCCGCCTCGGCCTCCCAAAGTTCTGGGATTACAGGCATGAGCCACCGTGACCGGCCTATTTATCCTGTTTTAACTCTCTATCTTTGTTGATTTTTCATCTGCTATTACAAGGGGTGTTACAGGGCCTCAGAGTATGATTCTTTCTCTTTTTAGTTCTCTCAACTTTAGTTTTATTTATTTTCTGACCATTTAATGGATGTTAAAAAATTTAGAATTATCATCTTTGGGTTAACAGTATTTTTTGTCATTTTGAATTAAGCCTTTTAACTGCATGCTTTATGCCTTAAATTTTCTTTCGTCTGTTGGTAATCTATTTATAGAAGAGTTAAGGCCAGGCACGGTGGCTCATACCTGTAATCCCAGCACTTTGGGAGGCCGAGGCAGGCGGATCACCCGAGGTCAAGAGTTCAAGACCAGCCTGGCCAAGATGGTGAAACGCCGTCTCTACTAAAAATACAAAAATTAGCCAGGTGCGGTGGCAGGCGCCTGTAATCCCAGCTACTCGGGAGGCTGAGGCAGAAGAATCGCTTGAACGTGGGCGGCGGAGGTTGCAGTGAGCCGAGATTGTGCCACTGCACTCCAGCCTGGGCGACAGAGTGAGACTCCGTCTCAAAAAAAAAAAAAAAAAAGCCTGGGCAACAGAGTGAGAATGAGACCCTGTCTCCAAAATAAATAAATAAATACATAAATAAAGATTTGGAGGTATCTTGACCATGTTGGCCAGGCTGGTCTCGAACTCCTGACCTCAAGTTATCTGTCCACCTTGGCCTCCCAAAGTGCTGGGATTACAGGTGTGAGCCACCATACCTGACTCCTATACCATTATTTTTAAAGCAAATCTTATTCTCCAACTTAGAATGCTTTTTGTTCTTAAAATGTTGGGACATTTCCTTAAGTTCTGCGTCTGATTAATTAGTTAGCATTATTAACTCGTTCCCTCAACCACAGGCATCTTGTGACACACAATGCCCAACCCCTGGGAATGTCACCCAGCAGGTGTGGCTTTGTTTAGCTTTTATTCACGATGGGGTCACTCCAGTTTGGACGCCTCTTACAGTCTTCTACAGTTACTGAACCGAGCTGGGCTCTTCTCACCCAGGGCAGTAAAGTCAAACACTGATGTTGCAATTTGCAGCAGGGGAAAGATGATATTTATTGCACGGTACCAAGCAAGGAGAACGGACAGCTCACGCTTAAGACCCAAACTCCCCAGTGGCTTACAAGCTGGGGTTTTTAGGGGTATGGGTACATTTCAGGAAAGCAGAAGTTGCAGGCAAAATCATTAACCAATACATGGGGTGTCATGAGCAGTGCAAAGTTAGAGATAATCACATCCAAGCATGCCTGTGTCTTTCACAATGTCAGAATTTTATTGAGGCTATTTCAATCCCTAAAGCCACGAGCCACACGGCGTTCCCAAGGAGGCATGCTGCTTAGTGCTCCTTTCCCTCAGTAGTGAGAGCTGCGGTCACACGGGCTCAAGCCACTGCACATGTCAGCCAATATTGCACACGACAACGTAATAGTGTACTTAATCAGTATATACATGTTACAGGTTAACGTTCCACAACAAAGAAAGTAGCACTTAACATCCAGAGGAAACAGAGATAGGAGAAAGGGTTCACGAACCAGTCCAGGAGAGTGAAGAAGACACAAGAAGAAGACAGAAACCTCCTGGTCTGGGCCAGTCTGTGGATCTTGCAAGGATGTCTTCGAGGTGGTGGAGCCTCAGGCGGCAGATGGTGAGTTCTGCTGGGGCCTTTCCTTCTGCAATCACAGAGGCCTCCCGTGAGAAGTGACATCTGAAGAGTGCGCTTGCTTGCGTCCTCATCTGTTTGGATGCAGGCTTTATTTTTAACTTGTTTATTAAGCAAAACATCTTACCTTTGTTGGCCAAGTGCCCTGTAAGATATACAATGGAGTCTCTAAGATGGAGTTAGTTATGCCAAGGGTGCTGTGTGCATGGGGGCACACATTAGTGGCTCACAGCTGTGACTCCCTCCAGGCCCCTCAAGAAGAAATTCATGACAGAGAACACGGCCAGAGTTCAGTCCTCAGTTCCCCCTTATCTGGGTCTCTGTGATAGCAGTCGGCATTTTCCACCGGGTGGGGGTTTCTGAAAGACTTGAGAATGTATGTTATGCTTTAGTTTCTATAGGGAAGCAAACCACCTGTGGCTGTGGCCTGCTTGGGAGACCCGTGCTCCCGTCGCCTTCCTGGCAGGCTGCTCACTTACCTTTCAAGGCTGGCAAGGTGACTGGAATTTCCCTTGAAGGGATTCAAGAGTGTTCCTTGATTTCCAAGCTTGGGAGAGCCTGGCAGGCACCTAGGAGGGGTCCCTGCTCCATCTCACTATGTTGCCCATGTGGGTCTTGAACTCCTGGGCTCCAGCCGTCCTCCTGCCTCAGCCTTCTGAGTAGTGGGGACTACAGCTGTGGGCCACTGTGTAACCGCCCAGTGGGTTCGCCTCATTGTATTCACTCCTTTCCAGGTTTGTATTTATGGTATGAATTTTAATTTCACCACAAAAACTTAAATCTCCCACAAGACAGAACTTTTTTTTTTTTTTTGAGACGGAGTCTTGCTCTGTCGCCCAGGCTGGAATGCAATGGCGTGAGAGGCCTTCTGGGTTCAAGTGATTCTCCCATCTCAGCCTCCCTAGTAGCTGGGATTACAGGCATGTGCCACCACACCTTGCTAATTTTTTTTGTATTTTTAGTAGAGATGGAGTTTCACCATGTTGGTCAGGCTGGTCTTGAACTCCTGACCTCAGGTGATCCGCCCCCCTCGGCCTCCCAAAGTGCTGGGATTACAGACGTAAGCCACCGCGCCGGCCACTATTTTATCTTTTTTAATAGAATTGATGTTCATTTAGACTCACCACATTTCTACGAATCTGTGCTTCATCACTTGAGGTATCTCTGATTCTGAATGGGACCATTTTCCTTCTGGCTAAAGATCACTGTTTTTTTTTCTGAGATGTAGTCTCGCTCTGTTGCCCAGGCTGGCGTGCAGTGGCGAGATCTTGGCTCGCTGCAACCTCCGCCTCCTGGGTTCAAGTGGTTCTCCTGCTTCAGCCTCCCAAGTAGCTGGGATCACAGGTGCGTGCCACCACACCCGGCTAATTTTTGTATTTTTGGTAAAGATGGGGTTTCACCATGTTGGCCAGGCTGGTCTTCAACTCCTGACCTTAAGTGATTCACCCACCTCAGCCTCCCAAAGTGCTGGGATTACAGGCACAAGCCACTGTGCCCGGCCTAAAGATCACTTTTTTTTTTTTTTTTTGAGATGGAGTTTTGCTCTTGTTGCCCAGGCTGGAGCGCAATGGCACAATCTCAGCTCACCACAACCTCTGCCTCCTGGGTTCAAGCGATTCTCCTGCCTCAGCGTCCTGAGTAGCTGGGGCTACCCGCATGCGCCACCACGCCCGGCTAATTTTTTTGTATTTTTAGTAGAGACAGGTTTCTCCATGTTGGTCAGGCTGGTCTGGAACTCCTGGACTCAAGCGATCCTTCTGCCTAGGCCTCCCAAAGTGCTGGGATTACAGGTGAGAGCCACCATGCACCATGTCCAGCCTAAAGATCACTTTTCTTTTCTTTTTCTTTTTTTTGTTTGAGACAGAGTCTGTCTCTGTCGCCAGGCTGGAGTGCAGTGGCATGATCTTGGCTCACTGCAACTTCTGCCTCCGGGTTCAAGCAATTCCCTACCTCAGCCTCCCGAGTAG
Organism: Homo sapiens; assembly: GCF_000001405.40. Taxonomy (NCBI): domain Eukaryota; kingdom Metazoa; phylum Chordata; class Mammalia; order Primates; family Hominidae; genus Homo; species Homo sapiens. The sequence continues at coordinate 20,331 of NT_187573.1, read as the reverse complement.
CCGGGATTACAGGTGCCCACCACCACACTCAGCTAATTTTAGTAGAGACGGGGTTTCACCGTCTTGGCAAGGCTGGTCTTGAACTCCTGACCTTGTGATCCACCCGCCTTGGCCTCCCAAAGTGCTGGAATTACAGGCATGAGCCACCGTGCCCGAAAAGACTTTTTAAAAGACCTTCTTGGCCGGTGCTGTGGCTCACACCTGTAGTCCCAGCATTCCTTGATCAAGGGAGTTCAAGACCAGCTGGGGCAACAGGGAGAAACCCCGCCTCTATGAAAATACAAAAATTAGCTGGGCATGGTGGTGCACACCTGTCATCCTAGCTACTTCGGGGACAGAGGTGGGAGGATCGCTTGAGCCTGGGTCAAGGCTACAATAAGCTGTGTTCCCGCCACTGCACTCCAAAGTGAGATCCTGTCTAAAATAAATAAATAAATAAATAAATTAAAAAAAGATTTTCTTTTAGTGCAAGTATATTGGGGACAACCTTTCTGTCTGACAGTCTTTCTTCCATTGCCTGTGGAACTCAGGGCTGTCATCTCTCCTGGCTTCCACAGTTGTCCTTCTCACTACCGACCCCTGGTGGCTGATCTTTTTCTCTGGCTGTTGACAGGACTTTTTTCTTTGGTCTTCTGCATTTTCACGGGTGCATGTGGGGCTATTTATTTGTTGATGCTGCCTGGAATTTTCTGGGCTGCTTGATCTGTGGCTGGACGCACTTTATCAGTTCTGGAAATGTCTCAGCTATTAGGTCTTCAATATTGCTTCTGCGCTATTCGCTCAGCTATTTGGGGAACTGTCTCCGTGTATCTGCTATCTTTGTATATTTCTTAATTTTTCTACTATTGAGTATGGATCAGGCACTGAGGGGAAGTCCGTCAGAAGGATTTTCCACAGATCCCTCTCCTCCCCAGGTGGGAAGGCAGATCCCAAGCTTTCCTCCATGGAGGAGGCTGGTTCTCCCAAAGGCATCTGGGTGCTTTCTGGAGAGGGAATGGTGGCTGTGTGTTTTTAAATTGCGGACCAGGCCGGGTGCAGAGGCCCACGCTTACAATTCCAGCATTTTGGGAGGCTGAGGCAAGGGGATCACTTGAGCCCAAGAGTTCAAGATCAGCCTGGGCAACATAGTGAGATCCCATCTCTATAAATTTTTTTTTTTTAAATAGCTGGGGGTAGTGGCAGGTGCCTGTGGTCCCAGCTACTTGGAAGATGAGGCAGGAGGATCGCTTGAGCCTGGAAGGACTGCAGACTCGGCGCGGCCTGTTCTTTTCTGCTTGTCTCCTGATTGTCTCTGTGTCCCCACTGGCTTCAAGGTTCCCTGAAGGGGGCGGTCCTGGGGTGGGACCAAGGGGGTCGGGTGGGGCTTCCTGTGCCAGACACCCTCCTCTTTCACCCACAGGGCAGAAGTTCAGCTACACTAGCAAGGGCTGTGGCCCTCCCTGTGTGTCCAGATTATGAACCTCACCCATCCTGTGGTCCCTGGAGGGTCTTACCCCATAGAAACTGAGAATGGACTGATTGATTGAAGACTGAGAAGCTGGACATGACCTGCTGTGAAAAGAGCCTCTGTAACAAGGGCGTCAAGGGGGCAGAGGCTGTGGATGGGGGAGGTGGCACAGGGTCCTGCCTGGGCCTTACCTCCTGAGGTCCCCACAGGGGCTGAGTGGTGGGGGGCGGGTGAGGGGCAGTGCCAGGACTTGCTGCCCATCCTCCGGAGGCTCATCCGTGGGCAGATGCTGGGAAGTGGGGGCTGGATGGGGCTGCAGAGAGGAGGGCGCCCAGTTCCAGGCCAGTGTGGAGACTGGGAAATCCCTGGTGGGAGGCTCAGGTTCAGAGCCCTGAGATGAGCCTCCCTTCCTCTCCCTCCCCTCCCCTGCAGGTTGAGGTTGGGAGGGAGGTTGAGGCTGCAATGTGCTGTGATTGTACCACTGCACTCTAGCCTGGGTGACAGAGGGAGACCCTATCTCAAAAAACATAACAGGCCAGGTGTGGTGGCTCATGCCTGTAATCCCAGCACTTTGGGAAGCTGAGGCAGGCAAATCACTTGAAGTCAGGAGTTTGAGACCAGCCTAACATGGTGAAACCCCATCTCTACTAAAAATAAAAAAATTAGCCGGGCATGGTGGCGGGCGCCTGTAATCCCAGCTACTCGGGAGAATCGCTGGAACCCGGGAGGCGGAGGTTGCAGTGAGCCGAGATCGCGCCACTGCACTCCAGACTGGGCGACAGAGCAAGACTCCGTCTCAAAAACAAAATAAAACACAAAATAACCGCCCTGCCCATAAACTGGGGACCATGTACATAGAGGGTGTAAAATCAGTCGAGTGGGACACAATCAATACTCTTTCAAATAAAGTAGAAGATATCAGAGTTGATCACAGGAAGTGAGGATAACTTGCTGTGTGAAAGCCGTGCTTTCATTATCCATAGATACACAGAGTGCACACCTCTTGGGGATGCTCGTGCTCTGACTGGCATGTAACATGCACTGCTTATAGATGTCAGATTAAAACATATATTTTAAGATTCAAAAATACAAGTCAGTATCCCTAGCAATATTCTAACTTCTCCATTGCTTGGTGTTATGATGTCTGGCTCAGCCATCATCAGGCCCTGGGACCTGAGCAGTGTGGCCGCAGGGCCAGCAGAGTGACCCGTGGACCATGGGCCCCCCTGGCGCTGCCCCTTCAGGTCTGGCCTGTGCTCTGGTGTGCTGCCAGGCGGGGTGGTCAGGCCTCTTGGGTCCAAGCCTTGCCCACAGCTGCCCCGAGTCACTGGGGGGGTCTTCTGGGCCTGACGCCTCCAGCTCCGCCCTTGTCCTCCCTGCTCTCAGGAGCCACCCCCACCTCACCTGGCCCATCCTCTCAGATGCCATGGACTCTCCAAGCAGAGACCCCTGAGGGCACAGAGTGGATTCTGCTTTTCGGAAGGGACCACCCACCGGAGAGGCGACCCATCCTTATGCAGGTCTGCTGCCTTTATCTGTCTTCATCAAGGGCTCTGTCCCCACAGCCCAGGCAGCCCTCTCTTCCTTCTGCCCAGCACCTGGTTGGGGAGGGGGGGTGGAGTCTGCAGTCAGTCACCCCTGGCCCATTTCCTGTGTCTTCTGATTCTCCGTGAAGAACAAATTCGGGTGTGGGTGTGATGGGGGTGGGCAGGGGGGAGGGACAGGGGTGGTTCCGGTTGTGGCCAGGACAGAGTTCTGGACCCCTCCTCCCCTGCCCCAAGGGAGCCCCCATGTCGTCCCACCCCGTTACAGGGGCCTCTGCTCCCTGCACAGAAAACAAGGGGTGCCTGGCTTGGGGTCTCAGTGTCAGAGCTTGTTGCCCTGCTGGCCCCTCCCAGGCTCTGTCTGCACGGGGGCCTGCCAGTGGTGGGCTCAGCCAGAGACCCTCATCCTGAGCGGGAAGGGCCTGGTCCTGGGTGTGACCTGAGGTCTCACGGCTGCTTTTCTCTCCTGCTTCAGACACCAACACTGTGATGTACCAGGAAACTGAAACTGAAACTCAAGGCCCTAGTCCAGGACCCTCCTCTCTATTGAGTCAGAACTTCTCCTAAGGCGTCCTCCCACCCCAGGGGACAACCTCTCCCTCCTCTCCTCACCGCAGCCCCTCCTCTCTTCACCGCAGCCCCTCCTCTCCTCACCGCAGCCCCTCCTCCCTCCGGATCTGTTCTGCTCACACCCTGAGCTCTGGGAGGCCCCAGGCAGAGAAGGGGTGGGGTGAGAGGGGTCTTGCTCAAGGTCATGTCTGCCTTCCAGAGCAGCCAGGTCAGGAAGGAAGGGTTTCTACCCCTCAATTCCCATTCTGTGAGATGATGGGATGAGGCCATCAGCTGTGTGCACTTTACACAAACAATCCGGGTTCCTCATCACAAACCAGAAGTGGGGCAGAGGTTCCCAGGCTCGGGGGTGCAAGGCCTCCCCTAGCTCTTCCCAGGCTCAGAGCCTCTGTGCCACACGTGCCCTCAATGCACCCATACCCAAGACCATGAAGGTCACTAGCCCCATGCTGCTGCTGGCTGAGGGTGGGGGATGGGAAGGAGGCCTGAAGGTGGGAGTAAGACCCTCTTGATGCTGGGGGCTCCAGATGCCAGCAGGACCCTGCCCACAATTCTGAGTAGCCAAGGGCACCTGAGCCTACCTGTGTGCTGCCCAGGCCTGCTGCCGGTGCTGGTGAGAGGGACTGGAACCCACCCTTCAGCCTGCGACCCTGACCTGCACCCTCCCCGCCCCATCCCAGGCCAGGGCCTTGAGTGCTTCCAGTGCTACGGTGTCCTGGACCCCAGCCTGTGTCACCCCGTCTCCTATCCCATGCAGGCTCAAAGCTGCCCCTCCTCTGTGGTCACTGGCACTATCGATGGTGAGTCCTGGGTGGGACCCAGCGTCTGTAGGCAGGTGAGGGGTGGGCAGGGCACTCTCTGGCAGCATCCCAGGGGCTCTGCCTTGAGCCCCCTGGCCTGGTGGAAGCTTAGATCTGGGGACAGAGCTCAGGGACCTCCATCTAATGGACTGCAGACTTGGTGTGGGGCCTGGGGCCGCCGCCCGTTCTCTTCTGCTCGCCTCCGCGTCCCCACTGGCTTCAAGGTTCCCTGAAGGGGGCGGTCCTGGGGCGGGTCCGAGGGGGTCGGGTGGGGCCTCCTGTGCCAGACACCCTCCTCTCTTGCCCACAGGGCAGAAGCTCAGCTACACTAGCAAGGGCTGTGGCCCCACTCTGTGCCCAGATTATGAACCTCACCCATCCTGTGGTCCCTGGAGGGTCTTACCCCACAGAAATTGAGGATAGACTGATTGACTCGAAGATTGAGAAGCTGGACATGACCTGCTGTGAAAATAGCCTCCGTAACAAGGCGGCCACAGTGCGGCGTGGCCTCTGGTGCCAGGCTGTCAGGGAGCTCCTGCTCAGCCTGAGCCCCTTCCTCTGGGCTCTGCTGTGAGCCCAGCCCGCCCTGGCACTGCCCCTGGTGGGTAAACAGGAGCTCAGGGTGGTTGCCCAGTGCAGCCCTCAGCTCCTGCCCCGATGCCCCCGCCTGGCCGCCCAGCAGCCCAGAGACCCCCTCACCCAGCATCCTAGCTGCCTGCTGGCTCAGATAGTAAATGCAGGTGTTCGCCCAAGGACTTTGTTCCCTTATTAACCCCTGGGGTCTGGCCTGCGGCCTTCAAGGTGTCCCAGCAAATTCCCCAGGGTGGGGCTCAGAGACTGGAGGGCCTTCCCCCAGGCAGCCCGGCCCTGCACTCATTTCCAGCCAGGATCGGGCTCAGCCCCAGCCCCGAGGTCCAGAAGCAGCCTGGAGGGTCTCGCACTCAGGGCTGGGGACCCCCAGGAAGACTTGCTGGGGGCTGACGGAGGGGTGGAGGCACCGTGGGCCCAGGCCTGCTGTGGCTGCCGGGTTTCCACGACTGTGGACAGCGTGTGAAATGGTCCCGGGCCCACAGGCTGGCGACTCCTGCAAGGCACCGCAGAGGGCGGGGGTGTCAAGGGGGCAGAGGCTGTGGATGGGGGAGGCAGCGCAGCGTCCTGCCTGGGCCTCACTGCAGGAAGTCCCCACAGGGGTTGAGCGGTGGGGGGTGGGTGAGGGGCAGCGCCGGGACGGGCCGCCCATCCTCCAGAGGCTCATCCGCGGGCAGATGCTGGGAAGCGGGGAAGCGGGGAAGTGGGGCTGGATGGGCTGCGGAGAGGAGGGGGCCCAGTTCCGGGCCGGTGTGGAGACTGGGAAATCCCAGGTCCTAGCGGGGTGCGGTGGGCCCTGGGCGGGAGGCTCAGGTCCAGAGCCCCGAAACGAAACGAGGCTCTCTTCCTCTCCCTCCCCCAGGCTTCAGGAAATTGAAACTCAGGCGCTGGGCTCCTCCCCTCTCTGCTCCAGGCCCAGGACACAACCCGGGCTCCCTCCCGCTGCTCCTGGAAACCACCTGTCCTTGGGGGGCCTCCAGCCTCCCGAGGGCGGGGCAGCAGGAACCCGGCGGGACTACCCTACCCACCACCAGCAGGAGGTCAGGGCTGCCTCTGACCTCAGCCCTAAACCCAGAGCAGAGGGAGAGCTGGGCCCCGAGTCCCAGATCCTAGGAGGACAAGCGGCTTCCACTCTGAGCCTGTCTCCCCTGGGGAAACGAGGGGATGACTGCGCCCCCGTCTCAGTGTGGTTGTGAGGCTCAGTAACCAGTCAGCTCACCTGGGAAGTGGAGGAGATGCCAGAGATGGAAGCGCAAGTTAGCTTTAGCAGAAACAAAGCATTTGTTAGAAATTCCATCATCGCCCAGCGCCCACCACGCTTCTGTTTCCCTGCAGTCAGATCCAGGTTCCCGGCCATGGCTTTTGGGTGCAGCTTCCTCTCACCAGCTCCACTATGATCAACTGTCTGTCCCTCCAGCAAAGCCACCTGCGATTCCGAGTGAACAATGCAGTGAACGCACTGCACACCGGGGCCCGAACACCGGGATCTCTGTCCTCCTGGCTACAGTGCCCAGGCTCCTGGACCATCTGGTTTCCACCCTCTGTTCTCTGCTTGCATTTCTCAATGCTAGAGCGACCCACTCAGCGAATCCAAACTCCCGACGGAATCTCAAGCTCAGTCTCTGCAGGCTGCTCTGATGGGCTCCGGGTCCTTGCACAGGGATAGCTGATCCACCGATCAGGCCCCTCCTCCCGCTGACCTCTTCCAGGCCCTCTCGCTCGGTTACAATGGGCCCCTCATGGGTGGCAGTAATGATTCATGTGTTTCAGACAGGAATCACTAGCTCAGGGACCCAGGAGGAGGACACAGGTCTTTGACCTGCCTTGACCTCAGGGACCTGGGAGGACCCGGCTATTCACATCAGCTGCCAGGGGTGGGAATCTCGGGCCTCCACGTTGACCACCGGCCCCTCCTGCTGGACGGTGCCCCTGGGATCCTGACACACACACACCACAGTTTCTGGCCAGCCGGGAAAATTCAGGGTCGGGCCCTAAGTGGCTGAGACCCTGGCCGGCTCCCTCCCACTGTCCCGGAGAAATGAACAAACACACCTCCACTGGGTGTCTGTTCTTGTTTTCTCTCTCCAGCCCAAAGAGCCCTCTGGGCAGCGCACAGCACCCAACTGCAGACACGGCGGCCTGGGCCGGCTTCCTCTGTCAGGAGGCTGCCACCTGTTTGCCAGGGGGAAGCGGGCAGCACTGCAGTCCAGGCACGGATGGGTCAGGGCTGCTGCCCAGAGCTTCTGCGTGGGAGCCCCCTGCCCCTCCCACAGGCCACTCACTACACTCCGGCCCGTCTGTCCTGCCCCAGCCCAGCTTTTGTACCCTCTGCACCAGCGGGTCCAGACAGACACCCTCCATTCCCAAGTCCTACGGCCCTGGGTGCTGCCCCAGCCTGAGCGTGCTCCTTCTTGCACCCGCTTTCTTTCCTCCATGCCCCCCAACACCTCCTTCCGCTGTGGGAGGAGGAACTCACTTGACCTGCTGAACCTGGGGCAGAAGAAAGGGCAGAGCACTGGGGAGGGGCTCCCTCTGAGGTCAGGCAAGCAGCTGGCTGTGGCTCAGGGGACGACTCCTCCTCCCCCACCACCCCCCTGGGCCATACCACAGAAGACCCCAGGACCCTCCAAACCTGGGGTGCTCTGCCTCTCCCCGCAAGGGGCAGCCACACTCAGAGCAGGAAGCTGGGGGACATCTGTATTTATTTGAGGCACCAAAGCAGCAGGAGGGCTCCAATGTGGGGGTGGGCTGGGGCAGGACTGGCTGGATTTGGGGCAGGGCCTAGACCCGGAAGTGGCAGAAACCCCAACCCCCAAAGGCTGCCCTTGAAGTGCATGCAGCTGTGCCAGGGCAGGGGGCTACAGGGACTGAGGCTCTCCAGGCTGCTGGCACACCTCCCTCCCCAAACATGGCCCCCAGAAGCCGCCACGTGCTCTCACGTGCACTGCACACCCACGTACACAGCCAGGCACACATCCCTACTGACACGGTCTCCCTGGGGACCCTGTCAGCATGTCCATGGGACTTGGTCCTGATGTTGGACCGTAAGACTCCAGGGAACCCTCGTCCCTTCCGCGGTCCCCCAAGGAAGGTCACATCATCCACCCCAGAAGTGAGGGCAGCTGGCCCCACTTGGGGCAGAGGCAGGGGCTGGGGCAGGTGGAGGTGCAGGGGGTGGGCCTGACCTGGGACCAAGGGCACAGATCAGGCACGTGAGGAGTCAGGGGCTCCCATACACTGTGGGATCCAGAAAGGGCTGGGCTTTCCTTCCTGAGCTGGGGGATCGGGGGACAGGGTCTGGGCGGTCAGGGGCCAAACCGCAGCAGGGCCGGCAGCAGGCTCAGCAGCAGCCCGGCACCCAGCAGGGTGACGCTTGCCCGCAGCCCGCCATCGGCCGCACTGAAATTGCACAGAAAGCTCTGGCAGCAGCTGATGCCCATGGAAGCCACACCAACATTGACGCCTTCTGGGATGGGGCAGGCCGGGGAACAGGTCTTGCTCAGGCTGTGGCCAAATGTCACGAGATTCCCTGCATGGGAAATGAGGCTGTCAGGGGAGAGACAGACGGCTGCAGACAGACAGCAATGGCCTCTGCTGAGCCCCGGCCCGGGCTAGGGAGATGGCCAGGGGAGGAAGGCACGGTCTGAGGCCTGGCACTCACCAATGCCGGCACTAGCAGACACAGTCACGCAGTAGTTGTCCTGGTCGGAGCAGATGGTCGGCTTCAGGCAGTACAGATTGCTCTTCTGGTTCAAGCAGGAGAAGCACATCAGCGAGCTGGCTGCGGAAGGAGGACACACCTGTCTCAGGGAAGCCTCCAGTGTCCCTCCCAGGCCTGACCCCAGTGGACATTTACTGAGAAATTACTGTATACCAGGCCCTGGGCTGAAGGCAGAGCAAAGACAGTGACACCCCACCCTGGCCGTCGAGCAGGTCAAGCGACACTCAAACACACAGTGAGACAGTGTGGCCAGGCCGGGTGAGCCCTCTGCTGGGAGCGGCCTGGAAGGACCCCTGGGGCGTCTGCTCAGGGGAGAGGGGTGGAGAGGGAGTGGAGCAGGGCACAGCTGGACAAAGGTCTGGGGTCCCCAAGGGCACCTCACCTCGCTCCACACCCAGAAGGGCAGCCAGCAGCACTGGCAAGAAGATCTTCATTCTGGAGAGGATGGCCGTCCTGCCTGGAGGTCACAAACCAAAGCAGCCTGTCCTGCTCTGGAGAGACACACTGGTTAGGGGGCCGGGTGGTGCCTCACTCCTCCCCAAGACCATGCACCCCCACTTTGCAGATGAGGACACAGACAGCAGAGGGGAAGGGACCTGCCAGCACACAAGGACTTCCCTGCTTCTCTCCTGACCCACTCCTCACTCAGTGCAGACATGCTCTAGGCTATCTCCCTCCTGAAACCTGGCAGGAGGGGGCTGCACAGGCAAGAGGAGGAAACTCAGCAGCCTTCTCAGAACCACAGAAAAGAAGGCAGAGTGAGTGGCCTCTGCCAGTGGTCCTGGGGTGGGGGAATGGGGAATGGGGAATGGTGATCAGTCATAATATTAGCTAGTCTGGGGCTGGGTACAGGGGCTCACGCCTGTAATCTCCATGCTATGTGAGGCCAAGGCAGGAGGATCATATGAGGCCAGGGGTTTGAGACCACCCTGGGCAACACAGTGAGACCTCCTGTTTCTACAAAAAATACAAAAATTAGCCGGGCGTGGTACGTGCCTGTGGTCAGCTACTTGGGAGGCTGAGGTGGGAGGATCTCTTGAGCCAGGGAGTTCAAGACTGAAGTGAACTATGATCATGCCACTGCACTGCAGCCTGGGCAACAGAGTGAGACCCTGTCTCAAAAAAAAGAGAAATCTATATACACATCTATATGTGTATCTGTCAGTGTATATTAGCTAATCTGTATCTAGAATTTTCCTTGGGATGGCTCAGTGTTTTGAGCCCAGGCAGCTCCCCTCACATGGAGACCTGGGGCCAGGTGGGGCATGGCTGAGGGGGAAAGCACTCCCCATTCCTGATGTTACTCAGTTCCGAGGAAAGCACCCCACTCAGTATCTGCTACTCCCCATTCTGTGGCTGGGAAATGGGCTCCGAGAGACAAGGCTGCGTGCCACTGGTCCCACCAGCAGGAAAGGGCCAGATGGGTCGCTGTACTGCTCCTCGGCCTCTGCACAGGACCCTCTGCACTGCTGGAGAAAGAATCTGGAACACACCCAGCTGGGGTCGTGATTCTCTGTTTTGTGAGTGCATGGTGTTGGAGGGGGAGGCTGCTGCCTTCTGTCAGGGACAGCCGTGGGCAGAGGAGTGGGAGGGACATCCCGGGCCTGGGGAGCTAGTGCTGGGCACTGGGGGTAAGGAGGATGCCTCAGAGAACAGATCTGGAGAGGGGCCCGCAGAGGCCCTAAGGGGAGAGCAGCAGGCCAGGACAGTGAGACCTGGGCTGACATCCTGGGGTTGGGAGTGGGAGCCCCAGGTGGCCAAAAACAGTGCCAAGTCCGGCTGGGGCCTATCCCCGCCTCCAGGGAGTAGCCCGAGGAGGAAGGATCTCCAATTCCTTTTCCCCCCACCCCCCTAAAGTGAGGTTCTGGTGTGGGGGGGTCCCTGAGCTGTCTCTGAGGAAGTCCTAGCATACAGGGCCACAAACAGGTCCAGCTGGTGCCGCCACCTGCTCACTGGGTGGCACCCAACCCGCTGGGCCACCAGGCTGAGCTAAGGCACCGGTGGGAGCCGAAGGCAATTAGGAAGGCCGGGTGGGCCATGGAGCCCGGAGGGAGCCAGCCGGCAGGCCGTGGGGGGCGCCCCTGGGGCCCAGGCTGCAGGCTCATGGCTCATCCCCAGGCTCAGGGAAGCTGGCCCCTGGGAGCCAGGTATCTAGGGGCTGCCCAGCCAGCAAGGGGCGGGAGCCTCTCCTGTGTCCCGGAACGGGGAGGGGCCCGGCGGTCCACTCAGGGAGGCTGGGCTCCTTGGACCTCACCGCAAGCACCACCAGTGCCAAAACAAGAAGCGGGGGCGGGTTCCAGTGCTCCGGGGTGATATGCCGGGGGCGGTCAATCCTCCCTTTCCGGCCAGGAGCTCTGCAAGGTCCCGTGCCCCCTCCCCTAGTCCTCAAGGCTGTCCCTCCCGGCCCACGTAGAGGAGCCAGGAGCGTCTGGAGTTGGGTGATGGGCTCCAGTGGCTGCGCAGCCCTGGGGCGGCCGGGAGGCTCCTGGCGGCAGTCTCCGCCCGCTCCCGCCCCAGATCTTTGGAAACATTCGGGGAGGCCTGCGGGGGATGGGAGGAGAAGCTCAGCTCTCTGGGGACCAACCCACCGGCAGCCCCAGCCCCTCTCCTGCGCCTCCCCGTGCGCCCCTCTTGCTCTCTCCCACCCTCTCCCGCCCCGGCCCCCGCAGGGCGCCTTCCGCCGCGCGTGGCTGAGCCGGGGCCGCGTGCACCGCAGCCGAGGCCGCCGGGTCTGAGCGCGTGCGCGCAGGTGGCGGGGGCGTCCCGGCCGGGGGCCCGCGGACTCACCGCCGGGCGGACGCAGGTACCAGCAGCCTGGCCGAGCTCCCCGAACCTCGCGCGCTCTGGACCGCGGCTGGCCCGGAGCCTCCCAGGCAGCCGCGCGGCCCCGGGGCGGGGGCAGGGGCGGGACGCGGGAGGGGCCTCCGGCGGGCGGAGTCGGCGAGCCCGCGGTGGGGGTCCCCGCGCCGCCCAGGCCTACCCCGGCTCCTTGGGATAGATGGGGAAGCTGAGGCCCAGAAGGGGGCTGAGACCACCTCCCAGTTTCCCCAGTGAGGTGGCGCCTGAGCCACGGCCAGGCCCGGCCTCCTTCCACCCGGCCCTGCTGTGCGCGCGGCGGGTGCTGACCTGGCGAGGCCGGACAGGGGACCAGGTCGGGGTGACCGTCACTGACACCTGGACAGTCCTCGTTGTGTTCGGGGTGGGAAGCCCACGGGTGAGCAGACGTGTTTGGGTGTGAGCACGGAGGAGGGGTGCCTCGGAGAGTGTCGGGGAGCAGTGTTGGGGGTCTCGCCTGCGGAGTGGAGCTCGGGAGGGGAGGACGCAGGCACCCCCGCAGCCTGGGATTCCTGAGGTCATCTTGTCCCTGCTTCCCGCTCCAGGCTGGGCTGTTCCTTGGCCATCCCTCAGGCGGGGGTGGGGAGACCGGCAAGGGTTGGGAGGTGGGAGGTTGTGGGTGCTGGCTTCTGCGAGGGCACTGAGGCTCTGCCATCGGTGGGTGCCTCTCCTCCCGCCAGGCCCTCTCCGAGGGGCTGTGGGCGCTGGGGCTCTGCCACCGGCCTGTTCTCCAGTTGACAGTGCGTTTCCTTTCTGGGTGACAGGGCGAGCACCAGGGAGGGGTCTTCTGAACCCCACACGGGAGTAGGGGGAGGGTGTGCGGAAATGTGAGGGTGGGCAGGTGGCCATGTGGTCAGGAGGGGGCTGGGGCTGACAGACACCTGTAACACCCCTGTCTCAAATCTAGGGGTGCAGTCAATGTGGCTGTGTGTGTGTTTTGCATGAGTGAGTGTGTGTGGTGCGTGTGTGTGTGTGTATGGAGGCTGAGGCTGGGGCTGTGTGTGTCACGAGATGTCCTGGCCGTGGTATGATGGCATCGTGGGTGGGGCTTCCACAGCTTTGGGGGCGATGGCCCAGCTGTCTCTGGGGACAGGAGCCTCCAGTAGGCTGTGGCCCGGGGGAGTCCCTGCCTCTGGGTCTTACGTGGGGCACAGGCAGGGCATCTTCCCCTCTGGAATGTTGGCGGTGAGGGCAGGGGGTTCTGTCTCTGCAGCCGGCACCTGGGGCCATCCCTGCCATGGCAGGGGCTCAGTAAGAACTGTGGGACGAAAGCACGGGTGGGTTTGCCCCCTTCAAGACAGGACCCTCTGATTCAGAAAACAAGCTGCATTAGGAGGAGGGCTGTTTGGAAAAAACTCTCAAACCATTTATCCTGTCTCTCACTCAACACAGAAGACATCAACACAGGAGACTCCCAAGACTGCTGGGGCCAAATGTGGCAGGTGGACGTCTCCCCGCCACCGAGCAAGCCATCAGTTCTGCAGCGGACACCAGCCGAGTGTCCTCCAACACCATTCCGGTACCTGCAGATAGCGTCAGATCCAGACACCTACACACACACACACACACACACACACACACACATATGCACACACATGAGCTGCGAGGGCCAGCCTCTGGAACTTCTTACCGACTGGCCCGACGTTGAGGTTCCCACTGTTAGAGGAACGCTTGCTCACCAGGCCTCTGGTTTAATGAAACATGACCAGAGTGACTCCATCTTGAAGTGAGTAGGAGGCACTCACAAGGCACCTATAAGGTTAATGCTTATGGTCTAAAAATAGCCATGTCTCAAGCTGGACACCAATTATAATTACAGAATATTTGTGGCCATATGGGGCATCTCCCAGCAAGCCCGCAGACTGTCCAGATAACCCAAGAGTGCAGGCCACTTTACTCAGAGATAATTTCAATGAGCAGCCTGAGGTTGGAGGATGAACGGGCACTGATGGCACCCACAGCCCCTATCCTTAGTGGGTGCATCTGCCCATTCCAGGTGTAATTGTAGCTCCTTACAGTTTCTTGTAAGCAGAGGCACTAACAGAGGACAGGCCCTCCTCCTCCTGCTTTCTGAGCACGCCCCACTCTGGAACGGAGCCATTTCAAATAAACCTGCTTCTCTCACTGTGCTCTGTGGCTCACCCCAAATTACTTCCTGCACAACATCCAAGAACCTGCTCTTGGGGTCTGGATCAGGACCCTCTTTCCCAGCAATACTGCAGCCCCTCCCGGTTTTGCGTTCAATTGATTTGCAAGAGTGGCTCAGGGAACTCAGGGAAACACATTTGCAGTTAATTATAAATGGATACACGCGAGAGGCACAGGGCGCCGTCTCCCGGAAGGGGTGGGGAGCTTCCATGCCGCCCACGTGGCCCCTCCAGGAAACCTCTATGTGCTCAGCATTCCTGCCCCCAGGGCATGGGACTGATCCTCTCTGAATGAGCCTCTTTGGGCCCATGATCAGAAAGGAGAGGGAGTACTGGAGACCTGCCTTGGGGCAGGTGAAAGGGGAGCAGGAGATGTCACAGAGATTCCATTTCTACCCACAACTGTAACAAGGGCCATGGAGTCCTGACCGGGCCGAATGCCAACTCTCCCCCCACACATCTACCTCCTTCTTACGTAGCAGCACTCCTTCTCACACAGCACTCCCTCCTCCTCCTCACACAGGACTCCCTCCCCCCTCACACAGGACTCCCTCCCCCTCACACAGGACTCCCTCCTCCTCCTCACACGGCACTCCCTCCTCCTCACACAGGACTCCCTCCTCCTCCTCACATGGGACTCCTTCCTCCTCACACAGGACTCCCTCCTCCTCACACAGCACTCCCTCCTCCTCACACAGGACTCCCTCCTCCTCCTCACATGGGACTCCTTCCTCCTCACACAGGACTCCCTCCTCCTCCTCACACGGGACTCCCTCCTCCTCACACAGGACTCCCTCCTCCTCACACGGGACTCCCTCCTCCTCACACGGGACTCCCTCCTCCTCACACAGGACTCCCTCCTCCTCACACGGGACTCCCTCCTCCTCACACGGCACTCCCTCCTCCTCACACAGGACTCCCTCCTCCTCCTCACACAGCACTCCCTCCTCCTCACACGGGACTCCCTCCTCCTCACACGGGACTCCCTCCCCCTCACACGGCACTCCCTCCTCCTCACACGGCACTCCCTCCTCCTCACACAGGACTCCCTCCTCCTCACATGGGACTCCCTCCTCCTCACACGGCACTCCCTCCTCCTCACACGGGACTCCCTCCCCCTCACACGGCACTCCCTCCCCCTCACACAGGACTCCCTCCTCCTCACACAGGACTCCCTCCTCCTCACACAGCACTCCCTCCTCCTCACACAGGACTCCCTCCTCCTCCTCACATGGGACTCCTTCCTCCTCACACAGGACTCCCTCCTCCTCCTCACACGGCACTCCCTCCTCCTCACACGGGACTCCCTCCTCCTCACACAGGACTCCCTCCTCCTCACATGGGACTCCCTCCTCCTCACACAGGACTCCCTCCTCCTCCTCACACAGCACTCCCTCCTCCTCACACGGGACTCCCTCCTCCTCACACAGGACTCCCTCCTCCTCACATGGCACTCCCTCCTCCTCACACAGGACTCCCTCCTCCTCCTCACACAGCACTCCCTCCTCCTCACACGGGACTCCCTCCTCCTCACACGGGACTCCCTCCTCCTCACACGGGACTCCCTCCTCCTCACACGGCACTCCCTCCTCCTCACACAGGACTCCCTCCTCCTCCTCACACAGCACTCCCTCCTCCTCACACGGGACTCCCTCCTCCTCACACGGGACTCCCTCCTCCTCACACGGGACTCCCTCCTCCTCACACAGGACTCCCTCCTCCTCCTCACACAGCACTCCCTCCTCCTCACACGGGACTCCCTCCTCCTCACACGGGACTCCCTCCTCCTCACACAGGACTCCCTCCTCCTCCTCACACGGCACTCCCTCCTCCTCACACGGCACTCCCTCCTCCTCCCACACCAGAGCAGAGAGATCATAAGACTGGGACGGGCCTGCTGTCATGCGGAGGCTTTTGTTTTTTTAATTTTTAAAATTTTAAACCAGGCAACCTCCGAACCAGAATAGGTTCAGGGAGACTTCCATGACTAAGAGGCCTTTGGCCCTAGTTGTGGAAGACTTTTGTCCTGGTAGCGTCTCAGATGACGGGAGGAGGCTGCTGGGGCCTGTGGGGAGAAGTCCCACGGGTGAGAGTGAGCAGTGGGCCTCCAGCGAGAGGGCAGAGCCTTGAGCACTTTCCCCTGGCAGGACTGGGTTAGGCGCCTGTGGAGTTTGGGGCACGTTTGCTGCAGGCTGCCTCCCGGCTCTGTCTCGGGTCTGGACTCAGGCGTGCCTGCTGTCAGGAGGGACCTGGTTGAAGGCCTGGCCCAGCAGGCGGTGTCTGGAGCCAGAAAGCCAGATGCTGCTGCCCCATGAAGAATGAGCCGGTGGCCTTACTGCTGGGGCTGGCAGATGAGGCCACCGATGAGCTCTGCCCTGTTTTCTGGGTTCAAGAGGGAAGGAGCCACAGCTGCCCTGTGTGCTCCTAGGACGGGTCAGCCACCTGAGATCTGCCCGTGGCCACAGGCCTCATCCTGCCCTGACCTTTCTCTGGCCACGATTCAGGGGTCCTGTGGGGGAGCGCCTCTGATTCTTGGCCTCCCCCATCCAGCCCCTGCTGCCGCTGCCTGTGTCTCTTGGAAGGCAGGGACTGTGGGGCTGGCCAGGAGGCCTGACGGGGAGTGCAGATGGCAGGACAGGGCAGGCTGGGGCGGGACGGGGCAGGCTGGGCTGGGACCTGCCTGCTGGCTCTGGTGGGAGGTAGGCTGTCTCCCAGCCTTGGCTCAGTGCGGGGAGAGCAGGCTGACTCTCTGGCTGGGCTGCCGTGAGGTGAGCTCGCTGCCTGACCTCCCTGTGTCCAGGCTTCACATTCCAACGTGCAGCTGCCAGTACTCTGCTCTCAGGCTTGGTTCCCGCCTCTCCCAGGGCACAGTCCAAAGTGCTCCCGGGGATTTCAGCATCTGCTCCCACCACTGGGGCCTTAGGCTCTTCCTGTAACTTCCACTGCCACCTTGACCCTGGCTCAACCCTGAAACCGAAGTTGGCTCCAGGCCTCCCTGAGTTGCTGCTTGTCCCTCCTCTTGGGACATCTTCCCCAACCTCAGGGGAGGCCCCTCCCACAGAGTGACTGAGACAGGTCTCAACCAGTTCAGAGGTTCACTTTGCCAAGGTTGAAGCCATGCCCGGGAAAAAGAGGCAGAAAACACAGTAGGGTGTGCAGCCCACTCCTTTTCCAAAGAGGGTTTTGGGGCTTCAATAGTTAAAGAAAGAAGTGGCCGCAGGGGAAGGAGGAAAGGAAAAAAGGGAGGGTCATATTCTTGTGAGGCTGTGATCAGTGTCCACTGCTCTCCAGGTTGCAGGTGAAAGTGGGGGCCAGAGGAACAGTTGATTTGTGTGTGTGTGTGTGTGTTTTTTTTGAGATGGAGCCCCACTCTGTTATCTAGGCTGGAGTGCAGTGGCGCAATCTCAACTCACCGCAACCTCTGCCTCCCGGGTTCAAGCGATTCTCCTGCCTCAGCCTCCTGAGTAGCTGGGATTACAGGCATGCACTACCACCACGCCTGGCTAATTTCTGTATTTTTGTAGAGATGGGGGTTTTGCCATGTTGGCCAGGCTGGTCTCGAATTCCTGACCTCAGGTGATCCACCCGCCTCAGCCTCCCAAAGTGCGGGATTACAGGCGTGAGCCACGAGCCACCGTGCCTGGCTGATTTGTTGTTCGTTTACATTTTCAGGTGAGGGAGGCCACCTGGGGAGACACGTGGCCTTCTATCTTGTAGCTGTCTGTTTAAGAACAAAAGGAAAGGCAGGGGTTTTTTTTGTTTTTGTTTTTGTTTTTTGCATGACTCAGTTTCTAAGCTTAACTTTTTCCTTTGGCATAGTGAGTCTGGGGACCCAAGATCTTATTTTCCTTTCTGTCACCCCCGCTTGGTTTTGGATTCCGTGACAGCTGGACCCGGCTTCTGCGTGGTGAGTGCCTCTGAGTGGAAACACTTGTGGTGGTGTCGTGTGTGTGTTTGAACACGTGGGGGGGATCTCTGAAGGAGTCGCTGACGGAAGTCCAGCAAGCCTCACTCAGAGAAGCCTCCTTATTTGTGTGGTCCCATTTGGTGAGCCCTGAAGGAATTGTTAGTGGAAGCTCAACAGGCCTGACTGGGGGTGTCCGTCCGCTCGTCCATCTGGCCCAAATACCACCCATTGAATTCCCAGTGAGAGGTCATCCCTCCCCACCTTGAGTGCATCAAAGACACCAGGGACCACAGGGGGCAAGTCTGAGCCTTGTGCGGTCAATGTTGGCTGCTGAGCGAGGTGACCTGTGTCTGTTTCCTTGTATTTTGCGACAGCTGGGATGGAAAATGTTAATTTTACCGGTTCCCCATGCAGCTCACTGGGCAGCATCTTGCAAAATCGAGAGGTTTTTTCCCCCTGTGATTCCATGAAGTGGAAAAAGGTGATTTTCCTTTGTGATGTGGCTTCGCCCCCATAGCTGTGGTTGGTGCTGTGAGCAGGGTCACCAGGGCAGCCCAGGGAAAGGGGACCCAAAAAACCTGGCATGCCAGCAACAGGGTAAGAATGTCTTACCGGGCTGGGCGCAGTGGCTCATGCCTGTAATCCCAGCACTTTGGGAAGCCAAGGCGGGCGGATCACCTGAGGTCAGGAGTTCAAGACCAGCCTGGCCAACATGGTAAAACCCCGTCCCTACTAAAAATACAAAAAAAAAAAAAAAATTAGCCAGGTGTGGTGGTGGGCGGCTGTAATCCCAGCTACTTGGGGGATTGAGGCAGGAGAATCACTGGAACCTGGGAGACGGAGGTTGCAGTGAGCTGAGATCACACCATTGCATTCCAGCCTGGGCAATAAGAGTAAAACTCCACCTCAAAAATAATAATAATAATAATAATAATAATAATGCCTTACCAGCCAGGCTTCTGGGCCCTCTCTCTCTGTGCATACTGGTTGAGTGAATGGTAAAAACCACTGTTTATTAATGAGAAGAAGGATTTGTGAGGCTAGTCTGAGCCTGTAGCAAATCTGGAGTACCTTGTGCTATGAATTCGTTTTTCTCTGTTGTTCTGTCATAAAGCGGGGGCACCACAGGATAAACATGAGCTCAGGACCCCTGGAAGCCCACGGCTCAACCTGGTCCGACAGGCTGGTCAGTGACAAACTTTGCTGCGGTTTCCTGGAGCAAAAACTGGAGGAAGTTTCCCTCTTGTCTTGGTTTATGTCCTTGAAAGCGTGACTTTGTGACCATGTGCAGGAATTCTCTCCTGGTCTCCACCATCTGGAGGGCAGGAATTTTCAAGTTCACGTCAGGCGGCTGGTCCAAGAGGACCAGGAGTCAGAAATGAGTTGCCTTGCTCTTCCCCTGAGTGTGTTGAGCCCTCTCAAGAGTTTTGTCTTAAAAGGTCTCGTCCCTACAGGGCTTTTACTGTCTATCGCTTTCTTCTTCTTCTTTTTTTTTTTTTGAGACAGAGTCTCACTCTGTCGCCCAGGCTGGGGTGCAATGGCGCAATCTCAGCTCACTGCAAGCTCTGCCTCCCGGGTTCATGCCATTCTCCTGCCTCAGCCTCCCAAGTAGCTGGGACTACAGGTACCCACCACCACATCCAGCTAATTTTGTTTTTGTATTTTTAGTAGAGACAGGGTTTCACCGTGTTAGCCAGGATGGTCTCGATCTCCTGACCTCATGATCTGCCCGCCTTGGCCTCCCAAAGTGCTGGGATTACAGGTGTGAGCCACCGCGCCTGGCCGCCTATCACTTTCTTAAGCCCATTTCTGAGAGTGAATTCTTGGGGATCACGGAGATGCCTGCTTTACTCCCTTTCTGGAAATACCTTTTGCTAATATGGTAAAAACCTGGAAAATTGCCATCTGGACTTTAGCGGGCTTTTTAGATTGAATTGCTGTTGGAACTGACTCCTGGGAAAGACACCAGCAGCCACCTTGTGCTACAGATCAGCTAGCTAAGGCTCT
Organism: Homo sapiens; assembly: GCF_000001405.40. Classification (NCBI taxonomy): domain Eukaryota; kingdom Metazoa; phylum Chordata; class Mammalia; order Primates; family Hominidae; genus Homo; species Homo sapiens. The sequence goes on along the minus strand of NT_187573.1, from coordinate 765 downwards.
GGTGGTTCTTCGCAATAGTGGCCTGGGTTCAGTTCCTGGCTTTGGGATTGAGTCCTTCGTGGTCTAATACTTGCTGGACTTTTGCCGCTTATTGATTATTTTCCCCTCTATGGACAGCTTCTGATTTTCTGTCTTGAACTACCTTTGGGGAGATTTTAGACCTTGTAAAAATCACTTATTATCTCTTTGGAGACACTTTGAATATCTGTGGTTAAGTCATCCTCTTTGTTAAGGCTCACTGATTTACCTTTAGTAAAACAATTCAAAAGCCAGAAATATTGGCCCGTTGTCCTGGCTGAAATCTAGTAATAAAAGATTTATTATTATTATTATTATTATTTTTATTTTTGAGATGGAGTTTCACTCCTGCTGCCCAGGCTGGAGTGCAATGGTGTGATCTTGCCTCACTGCAACCTCCGCCTCCTGGGTTCAAGCAATTCTCCTGCCTCAGCCTCCCGAGTAGCTGGGATTACAGGTGCCCGCCACTATGCTTGGCTAATTTTATATTTTTAGTAGAGATGGGGTTTCACCATCTTGGCTAGGTTGGTCTCGAACTCCTGACCTCAGGTGATCCACCCACCTCGGCCTCCCAAAGTGCTAGGATTACAGGCGTGAGCCTCCATGCCCAGCCAGATTTTAAAAGGATTTTTCTTTTGAGAGCTCTATAGTTAGAAATCGACTTCATTAAAGCTGATATTTGGGCTATATTTGTGCAGATATTGTTTTAAAGCCCCTGCTCTCCCTCTAAACACTTCTTAGTCAACG